>NC_000010.11:53173398-53324913 GCF_000001405.40 Homo sapiens | reverse complement strand
AGTCTTACTTAGATTTGTATTACACATAACTCTTGTGCATAGGTAGAAAATACATATAGGCAAAATAAATGTCTGATGTATTTGTAATTTCTTCTTATTTAGGATTTCATTAAAAGTAATTTGTAATTACTTTTGACAAAGCCACTTCATTCTTTGGAGACATTATTTGTAACAGATATTTTGGAACTTGGAAGCTACACAATCTGTTATATACGGTAGATGTTTCCCAAAATTTCTGAAAGTGAAATACTCTCCCCAGAGACCCAACATCCAATGCCAATGCAACTTTTCTCCCAATTTCCCACTTCTCAGGGCATTTTGGCTAAAACTTGGAAGGAGGCAGCATAATCGTTTTGGCTTTTGAAATCCAGTTTTGTGTAAAAGGCAAGCAGACTAAATTATATTCCCAATTCACAGTCAATCATTATTTTTATAAGCCCCCTGAAAATTGAATTCTTCAACTATAATAATCAAGGCTATTTAAAGATTTGTCAAGGGATCTGTAGTTCGGATCAGTATTATTTGTAGATTTTATCTTGAGATGCCGTAATACCCAAATCACACCTGGAAGTAATAACTCCCATGCCTTAAATGACCCTTGTATTTGCCTCATTTTTAGCCAAAACTGGGGATAATACTTATAGAATGATGGTAAATATACATCAAACACATACATATTGACTATTGAGTAAAATCTTCATTTTCTTCTCTTTTAGACTTTTAAATACAATTTCATTTCATTATGGTACAAAGATTTTTTTCTACTCTCTGAGTTCAGCTACATTGCAGGAAGTGTTTTCCAGCTACATAGAAAAAATATATGAGCCTGAGTGCCATGCCAGACAGATTTTTGTTTTTGTTTTTGTTTTTGCACGCAAAAGTAAGGAACAAAAACTCCAGTAGAAAGAAAAGTTCGAAGCATATAATCAAATATCTCTAGATGCATTTATTCAGGTCATGTTAAAGGATAATGGCAATTTTAAATATGAAAATGATTTTAAAATTTGTTGTCATTATTTTTAAAAACTTTTTTTTAGTGTATGACAAATCAGAAATTTTTAGTTGTTCCTCACTCTTCAAAATATTTATTCTCCTATTACAATCAACAAGCCTTGAGGATATACATCAAAGTACTTTGTTAATTCTCAGTGAAGAAGAAAATGAAAATACATTAAAGAATATGCTACTTGAAAACTCTGTTTCTTATCCAATATCCATTTCGGGAAAAGTGTCAATAGCTTTAAAATCTTCACAATAATTGCTGGGCCATCATACCTTTACAGGTTTCAAAGTATGCCTGTAGTTTTTCTCTCTCTTTTTTTTTTTAAGGTATTCAAATAGCTATGTTGTCCCTTTTTAAAAAATGGATTGTCACCATGTGGCAGTTAAAAGTTGTTTGTTCGGTTTAACTAATGTTTCAATTTTATGAAGCTTAGTAGAAATCCTTTAGAGCTCCTTATCAACAAAGTACAGAAGAATGTAGCCTCAGTTTACACCTCCCAGATTGCAGGCCCCTTCCAAAGACAAAACAAGAATCAAAAGTGTCTCCTGAAAAACAGAACTTATAGCTGAAGTACTCAGACGTCATAAGTAATTATCTAAAAGTAAGTTAGCAAAGAAGAAAAGTTCTTAGGACAGGACACAGTTGTGTTTTACTGTAATATATTACATGATTTCCAGAAGCGGTAAAATAGCAGGCAGAAAAAGTGCATGAGAACATGAATAGCTAAATTTCTTACCCAGTATATTTGTTATATAGAATTAAAATGTGTGTACATGTATATGTGCATGTATATATACATCCATATACACACATATATGAAAATGATAAAATCTCATGGCCAAAGTAGAGGTTTTAATCATGTTTCTATTTTCAAAAGATTTTTAAAATATTAATTATCATTTCAGAAATGCCATTTGTAAGCAAATAGAAACAGCCAAAACATTAGAATAAAGTGTTCCATTAAAATACATTTCTATAGTCCTCGATTTAATCAGTTCTCTTAACCAAATGGAACACTATAAAACTTGTAATTCGTGAAATAAGTACATTTCCAAAAAATTCATGTTATTTCACAGCAACATACACCACATTTATTCTTGTGAAATAAAATTTGACCTCTGAACTGTAACTTATCATCTAGACATAAATGTTATTCAAAGCCTGGATCCATTATAACTGTCTAAGGACTGGAAAAATAAGACACAATACGTTGTCTGCCTTTTATCATTGCTAAACCTAGTTTTTAATATCTTTAAAAGGGGATAAGAATTCATAGTCAATGTATTTCTTGAAGATGATGATAATACAATAATGAAAATTAAAGTTTTAGAAAGGCTAAAGTACAACACAAATATACATTATCGCTAATAACATTATACAATAATCAGAGCTCCTTCTATCCAGTCTAAAACATACAGCATTATTGACATATGGGTCATGTTTGCACTGAGTTCAGTAAAGATTCAAAATTAAAGAAGTCCAAGTAAAAAAGTGAGATGACAGGGGTTGTTACAAGGCAGAGTATATGAACAAGTTGAAAAAACATTACTCTTATTTCTTGTGCCTTTTAAAAAATAACTCCCCCAACTCCCTGTGACAGTTAACTAGATTTTGTCCACTTTCCCTCTTTATAAATTTTTGACCTTGGCCTGATTTCCTCATCTAGGTTTTTTTTTTTTTTTTTTTTTGAGATGCACAGAATCCATTTTTCCATTACTATCAATTCTGGTCAAAGGAAGATAATTGGATGTAACTTTTATATCTAAAAAAGATAATATATGTTTATAAAGACACATCAATGAAAATAGAAGTACTAAAGCTCTGATGGGCATTTTACAATTTTCAATACTATTTTTTTCTGTGAGAGACAATTTGAGTGTAACATTTTGAGAAAACAAAGAGTGCTTTAATGAGCTGACCCAAAGACCCAGGACTTACGTATTGCACGTAAGAGTAAAGAGAATCAACTCACAGTATAATAAGCACCACCTCAAGTTAGAAATTATTTTTGCAAAAACCTCTATAAGGGACATTGTGTGAAAGGGTGGGTTAACAATATTATGTGATAAGACTCATGAAATTCACTAAGTAGGGCCTATATTCTCATGCAAATAAAGATGGTATGGAAATTGACGTAGAGACTTATAAGAAGACATACACTTACATTGATAAAAATATAAGAGATACATGCTATAACATATATGGGTATCAATGTAGAGGTAGATACAGATGAAATACTAGGATCACCTGTGTGACTTCTTTGACTCAAGACTTCATGACAATCACAAAAAAAATCTTCTTGAGAAATACTGGAGATTAAGCAAATAAGAACTAATTATAATATTAATTTTAGAGTAGGATTTTTGTGTGCGTGTGTGTGTATGGGCAATTCATGGAAGGAAGAGCAGGTACCTGTTTATCTTGTTGTTTCTCATTTTCTGGGACAGTGGACCAAGATCTAGCAGTTTTGAAGATTGGATTCCAAAAAAAGTAGGCCACATAAAATAGAGTTTAGAATTTTATGATTAGGGAAGCCAAGGCCCTGTATATGGTTAATAACATTCTAAAAATTCAACCATTATGTGATCCAGAAATAATTCATCTTTTCAGTGTCTGTAGTGGAGGAGGAGACAGCTCCCCCGCCCCATAGTGTGAATGGGCTAGGGATTAAGCCTGGCTTTTACCACTCTGACAAACTATGAACCTGTCTATCTCAGCTGACCACTAGGATTGATAACCTAAGCACTCATCCATAGCAAATTTGCATGGAGATTTGTAGAAGGTCAGTTCCCACTACAGGAGTCCAGCTTGTTGGCATTAGTTTCAGACAAGTTAACCCTAACCTCTCACTGTACTACAAGCTTGGTATGTTAAAGAACTGTGTACAGCAAATTAATAAAATCAACTTATTAATTGAAATATATATAAATTATACTATTATGTATTATTATATATATTATTTAAATATCTATATATCTATGCATATTAATTAAAATTTGTATAAACAAATTAGAGAAATGATATAAAATGGTCTCTAATATCAAATTCTTTGTGAACCTAGCGACATTGCTCTAATGTTAGAGTCTTTCTGCATTGTCCCTATTCTACTAAACTTCTGCTAAAGAGTCCAACTATTAGAATATTTATTTCCATGCTTTTTTTTTGCACTATTTACAGATAATTCTTAATGTATTAATTAGCTAATTCTACAAGTTAACTTTAGTAGTTTATTTTGTTTTGATTTTCGGGTGACAGTTTTTTATTATAATTGTACCTAACTTTCTAATTAAGTCCCCATGATGAGGTTCAAGGATAATCTTATTTTTTTATGCAACTTATATGGAAGTGCTCCCACATTCAGGGTGTTGCATTGAATGTCAATGACTACTTGAAACTCTTAGATAAATAGTCATGCTGTGTTGTGCCATTTTGAAATATTAAATCACAACCATCCAGGAAAGCCTGAATAATGTGCACAATTAAAAGGAAATAAAATAGACTAAGCAATCATCTTTAAAATATATGTTTATGATTCCATACAAGCACTTACCAGATAATAATTAATGCAGGAAAATTTTAATACAGTGAGATTATTTTAAAATTCAAAGCTACTCTAATAATGTTTTTTAGAAAATATGTCTTAGTCTGCCTTCTTATCAAATTAGAAATGAAAGGGGATGTATCTGTATCAAGTTTGTTCTATCTCATTGGAATGCCAAAATTAAATGTCATAAGGCTCCAACAATTTAATTACTAAAGTGGCTGTGTCAGTTAACAATAGTTTTCTGCTTGAATTTGGAAGTCATTGATTATGGCATACTACCCCGACCTGCTCAATGCAATGCTTCGAAGGCTGCCTGCTGTGGGAATTTTTAGGGAATACTTAATATCTTGCTGCATCAGACATTAAGAAAACTGTTAATATGAGTCCTCAAGAATTATGTGGATCTTTGGGATCCTGGTGGGACTGAGAACTAGGAAGCCTTTCTTTCTCCAGATAAGTTTCTTAGAACACTTGGAAATGGGTCAGATACACTCCCAGAAATACATATTTTTTTAATCAGAGAGCTTGATCCAATACTCTCACTTTGCTAAAAAGAGAACAGCCCAAAATCTTATTTCAATTAGATAAATAGAGTTAGGAGAAAGGATATAACAGTGTAGACTACGTTAACACTGATAGAGTTAAAAAGTTGGCTGACACACATTTAAATGTATTTTTGTTTGTGTTTTATCCTCCATGAATCTGCAAGAAAGTCTGATTCTGGTTTGAAAATATGCGGGGAAGAACTGTTCAAGTGTTTAAAACATACTAACAGTAAACACAAAACAGTGGCCCATGTTTTCAAGGAAGACAAACTAGAGTAATTGCTGTCTGAACTGAACATCTATTTAAAACTTTTATTGGAAGAAATAAGTATTTATTGATGTCCACGGATTTGCTAGGTGTTTTACATATGCTCTCTCATTTAGTTGCGCCAGAACATCTGTGAGGTAGCCTATATTCTCTTCAATTTACATGGGGAAAAACAGACCAACAAACCTGCGGCTCAGGAAGGTTACATAACCTAAGGAAAGTCACAGAGCAAGTAAGCACCAAATCTAGATTTCAACCAAAGTTTCTTTCTTCTATTTTACCCTCAGGGTAGAGTTAAAACTGAGGAGTTTTCAGTGGTAAAATGTTGTCTTTATTGAAAGTAAAATGTCACTTTTCTTGCAATCACCGTCACTGTACTTGGCTTTAAATAAAATTTCACAGATTTGAATTAAATGTTTTTTGCTACTGCTTCTGCCTCTTCTTCCCTTTTTCCTTCTTCCTCTTCATTTTTATCTTCCCTGAATCTATACTACATAATAGTGTTTTCCCCAGTGTGATGTCTGCATGTATTTTTATAGTCATCTGAACACTCAAGAGGTGAAGGCAATAATTTTACAAAGGGGGTATTTGGCTACAGATAGGCATTTAAATAATCTTTACACTACACCATTCTAATAGCTAGCTTCTGTGTGCACTTCACGCCAGGCCAAATGTTTTAATATTTTATGGCTTCACCATTATTTTCTCAATGTATACATAGTGTAGTGGGTAGGAATGGGAAAGAATCAATGGGAAAGAATTATACTAATTCATGGTCCCTGTCTTGATGCTGTGAATTACTTCAGACAGCATTACAATTCATTGTACTAAATAACATAAAATTTATAACGCCCATGATACATAATTCCAAGTATACGGATAATTTGTTAGTTTGTTTTGTCTTTGTTTTTTCTTTTTATTTTTTCCATTAATGTAATCAGGTATACTTTCTAAGGAAAAATTTCAAACAAGGTTTTGAAAAAGACAGAATAGAAAATGCATTTCTGGTTATTAAAGACTGGCCTTGTCTAAGCAAGGCATACTTCAAGTCAAAAACAAGATGATTTGACACAGAGAATAGTGAAAAGCAGATTTTCCATGTCACCTTTCATGTCCCACTGCAAAGAATGTGCACTGTGGAATTATGACCTTGGGCTACTTATTTGCTCAAAAATATTTTTTTCTCATTTCTCAAATGAAGATAATGAAGATGTGCAGGTTTATCTTGAAGAATGAAATCAACTAGTATTTTTAAAGTGTTTTGCACTATATCTGACAAATAGTGGGCATTTATTTTAATCTCTTTTCTTGTCACTCTTATTTTGAGGTCATAGTAAAATATAATTAAAACCTAAATAGTTATACAACTACTTTGAAAATGGTTTAGGCCCCCAACATTTGCTTGACAGAGTACAACTTAGAGTGAATTTTTTCCAATCCCATGAATATCTGAACATTGTATTCATGCTAAGGATAATTTCGCGACTTTCATTTTCAGTTTTAAAATTTTATTTTTATTGTTAAAATTATATAATATAAAAATTTAAGATAATATTTTATTCAAACACAATTTAAAGAGAAATATCCATGCTAAAGACAATGTTTAGCCATAAAACCTATGACCAGTCTCTATGAACTATATGATTCTAAACCTGAGTCTAAAATCTACATCAGCTACCACTGTGCTTCCCTGGAATTTTCAGGTCACAATGTCATATATCTTTTAGGACATTTAACCATGTTTGGTGTCTAAGTTGTAGATCACAGGGTAATGCTTGCTTTGATTTGCTAGTGCCAGGTGGATAGATTCTGACTTACAAACTGACTGATTTCTCACAACATCCATTCAATTTGGATATGGAGCATCTGAACTAAATTGCGGGATTATTGTGAGAAAAAGATTTCTTTCTCCTAACAAATGTCCCTGAAAGCCAGTGACTCTTTTCTAATTATGATCTAACTCTCTAGGTCTTTGTATCTTTATTTTCTAAGTAATGAACCAAAACACCAACATGAAAGCAGGGAAGCTATAAACGATTATTTTTTAAGCCTCAAGCTCCTTTTCATCTATTCATTGCACTCAATGTCATGCTGTGATTTCAGGTTGTTCCCATTGCTTTGGCCTAATTTCCACAGGGCTAACTGGGTTTTGTCTACATGAGTCTTTCCTTTCCTCCTGAAAACCAAATATATGTACCTTTCATAACTCAAGCTAAGTTCTAAGTTGATTTGTTTATTACTATTCAAAAGCTATTGAATTTCGCCTGGAGGCAGCTAGTATATTACAAGTGAACAAAGAAACAAGCATGGAAAAGTAAGCATAGAGCAAAAAGATAAATTCGAGACTTTTTTTTCACATGCTATCATTTTCCAAATTATGTTGTATTTTGGAAACATTTTTCTTAAGCATAAAATTGTCAACCTTCATCTACTCCATAATACTTTTATGAAAAATATTACCTCTATTGAATAATAGCTTTTCTTTAAAATGATTATAAGATAAGAAATAGATCCTCAGGTAACTACATCAGACCCAAATAGTACCTCGAGATTACTAATACAATGGTGTTTTTATTGGTGTGATTTTTAAGGATTTTTCAATGTAAGGAATCTGAATCGTTTATGTCATAGAATGTAGAGAGAGCTATTTGTTGGTTTAAAATAACAAATCAAACACAATGCACTTTAAAATTATTGTCTTCTGACCAACACCCAAGTTACTGAATGGCTATTTTAATTCATATCCCATGGGTTATTAGTTAGGTTGGGAATCATTTCACGATTTTATTGATCATTTGTATTTCTCCCAGAGCCAGTTCGTATCTCCATTTACTTCAAAGTTTCCTGACAAAAGCATCTTAAGAAAGTATCTTAAAATTGTAGGGAGCAGGCTATCTTCAGTGTATCAGAAGGAAGAGCAAAGTGAGGAGGCATATTCCTAAGTCCATTTCTATTCTACTTTCTAGCACTAGACATTATTTTTTTCCCTCTATAGTCTCTCTTTGTCTCAGACTTATTATTTTAGAGCCCACATCCTCTACCCTTGAGATGTTTTGTTTTAACCAGGTTCTTCTCATATTTCCTCTAGAAATATGAAAGGACAGAGGAAATTTTTCCCAGGTTCTTGTCTTCTTTCTGGTAAAAGAACATCTGGTGAAAAATGTAAAAAAGCTAGTTTTTCACTTTTAAAAAGTAAACTACCAAAATTTCAATATTACATAATATCAAGCTGAAACTTCACAGAAACTGAATCAAACATTTACAACTGATTCTGTTTTATTAAACAATCAGTTCATTTAGGTAATAAGATAGTAATTATTTCATGTACTAAGGTATCTGACTTGACCTGATTATTCCAGTTGCAACAATCAGGTCAGATGTTTAATACATGTTGCTCAAATAATGATAAGCTCTCATTTATCAGCTATTTATTCATATTTTTCCACTTGATTCTCACAGTTGTATGACAATAGTACTGTTATTGTTCCCAATAACAATTTCAGAGATGGTTAAACTAAGGCTGGTTAAATAACTTCTCAAAGGGTGAAAATTAATATTAATAAATGCTAGAAGCATTTTTGAAGCTATGTAGCCTAACTTTAGTGCTGAAGTTTTAAACCATGGTATAATGCTGCCACCCTGAGCCAAAGACAGATTTACATTAGATAATAGTTTGACAGTATCTTTTCATATGTAGGGCCAAAGTGGCTAGTTAGGAACAATATACAGTGGAATAATAATTTAAAAAGCCATATACTATAACAGTTAAGGCTTATTCCAAGAAGACAAATTAGGAGACACATTGAATATTCAAACATAATCCATTATACTTATAGAATAAAGGAGAAAGAATATATGATAATTATGACTTTTAGACAATCTTTTTAATGCTATAACTATTCATAGTCAAAACTGTCACCAAACTAGGAAGAGAAGGAAACACTTTCATTCTAGTAAAGGGCATGTTCAAAAAACCTACTTCTGACATCATGCTTAATAGCTAAATATTGAATGATTTTTATCTAGGATTGGGAAAAAGCAAAGGTTTTTTACTCTAGCCATTTCTATTGAACATTTTACTAAAGGTCTAGCTATTGGTATCACAATAAAATAAGGTAAAATCTTAGAGATTTGAAAGGAAGAATTAAATCTTTATTAGAGTTTCCTTTTCTCCACATCCTCATTAACACTTGTTTTGATCGTGTTGTGCACAGTAAGTACAGCCAATTTTGTCAATTTTAAATAGCAATAAATGTGAAAAAAATAAACTATCAGATGGCATGACTGTTTATACAGAAAATCCCAAGGAATCTAAAAAACAACTGTTAACAATTAATAAGGGAGTTTAGCAATGGAGTTACCAAGAACTGTGAAGGGTCTCAGATTTTATTCTACTTACAAGCTAACAAGTTAGCCTGTCACTTTTTTTTCTCTTTGGCAGAAGGCCCAAGACTCCTGGGTCACAGACAAAGAATTTATTACTCATGACAACAGCAGCTTGCTGCAAATGTAATGCTAAGAAATGGCTGAGGTAGAGAATGGTCAGAGTCTTGCATTCTTGATACACTCAACAAAAATGTGTGGGGAAGTTCAGAGCCCATGGTGGACTAGTTCTTTCAAGAGTCCCTGTGTACGAGGATGACATGCCAAAAAACACAATTGTACATTTGTATGCTGGCAATAAAAAAATAAAATATATATACTTAAAAATTCAAATTATGATAGAATCTATAAAATATATAATTTTTGAAATAAAATATAAAATTTACCAGAATTCTACACTAACTACAAACTATTGCTGAAAAAATTAACTGAGACTTAAGTATATGGAGAAATATAGCTTATTCGTGGCTTAGAAAACTATTTTTTTAAATGACAATTCTCTACAAAGTGTCTCTAAATATTCAACGGAATATCAATTATATTACAAACAGGAATTTTAGTAGAAACTGACCAGCAATTTTTAAAATTTATACAAGATGCAAATAACCTAGACTATCTAAAGGAATTTTGAAAAAAGGGAAAAATAGTTGAATGGCTTATACTACTTGATATCAAAACTTCCTATAAATTCATCATGTAAAGACAGTGTACACACTGGTGAACTGACTGGCAAGAAGATCTTGGAGCAGACTGGAAAGTTCAAAAATAGACCCATACTTTTACAGGTATTTGGTATTTTACCAAAGAGCCAAATCAATCCATTGGGAAAAGTAGAGTCTTTTCCACAACCAGTTCTGGAATAACTGGCTGTCAATAATAAGAAAATAAACTTTAATTCCTACCTCATTTAATACACCAAGATTTTTGTGGGATTTATTATAGATTTAAACATAAAAGCCAAAATCATAAAGTGTGTGAAGGAAAATATTAAAGCATATATTCATAAGTAGGGGGTAGGTAAACATTTCTTAGAGCATTTTAAAAAATCATAAAGTAAGAAAAATTCTGCAGGTTATATATCAAAAGTAAAAACTTCTGCTTATCAAAAGACACCATTATGAAAAAGAATAGGGAAGTCACAAACTTGAAAAAAATGTTCAGAAAATATGCATCTGATGAAGGACTTGTATCCAGGACATATAAATAACTCATACAAATTAATATTAAAAAAAGAAAAATTCAACAAAAGTGGGAAATATTAAACATTAGATAAAAGAATCTATGACAATAACAATAAGCACATGAAAGTGTGTTTATCATTAATCATCAGAGAAATGCAAACTATATATACATATAATTTATGTATGTATGTGTGTATATATACATTTATGTGTGTGTGTATATATACACAAACATATATATTTATGTAAATATATATATATTTTCCTTTTTTTGTTTTTGAGACAAAGCCTAGCTCTATTGCCCAGGCTGGAGTGTAGTGGCATGATCTTAGCTCACTGTAACCTCCATCTCTCGGGCTCAAGCCATCCTCCCACAGCCTCCCGAGTAACTGAGACTACGGGCACGTACAACCATGTCCAGCTAATTTTTTGTATTTGTTGTAGAGACAACATTTCACCATGTTGGCCAGGATGGTCTTGAACTGGTGAGCTCAAGTGATCCTCCTGCCTCAGCCTCCCAAAGTGCAGGGATACAGGTGTGAGCCACCACGCCTGGCCAGAAATGCAAATTGTATTAAGTTAAATTAAAGCCATCTACAAAAGAGTACATATGTACTGGCCAATTATATAAAATTCTAGGCTGGAGAAACTAATTTCTGGAAAAACTCAGAAGAGCTAGTCTCTGGTGGAAAGAGGGTCAACAGAGATTTACTGGAAAGGGGCTTGTGGGAAATGTCTAGGGTGATACTCACATTTTACATATTCATAGAGATTTTGGTTACACAGATGTATATATTTATTTATACTCAGCAAATACACAAGATTTAGCCATATTCTTTTATGTAAATTTTACATCAAAGGCAAAAAAATCTGTAAATTAATATTGAGATCTCATGTTCTGAGATCTGCAATTAGCTTTAAAATGCATCAAAAATTAGATGGCTAGAGGAATGGCTAGATGTGTGATAAATCAAATATAATAAAGTATGAATGATAAAATCCAGGTGGTAGATATGCACAGTCATTGTAAATTTTTTTCTAATTGGCTCTATGTTTAAACTTTTATAATTAAATATCGGGAAAAAAAATCTATCATGTCAATATTATCTTGAAAATATACCACCCCCTATCCTCACCTTAACAAAAAGCAAGGGCAATTGCAACTCAAAATGTAATGAAGATACCAAACTCCTTTGTTATACTTCTGAGCCACCTTATTATTTGACTTCCTTCCCACAGCCTCAGGATAGCTGCAGAACCTAGATATTATGTCTACATTATGAGCAAGAAGATAGAAAAAAAGGTTGGAGTTATTGTACTGAAGGAGATACTGGCTGAGAAAAAAAAAATTCTAGAAGCCTTATCCAGAAAATTCTGACTAAAATAGGATCACATGACCTGAGCCGCAAGGGATCCTGGGAAACCTCTACATTATAAAAAGGGAAGGGACATGAAGATTGAATGGATTTTGAGTAGTTAATCCTCGGTGTACACCACACGAGTTACATCCAGATATCTGATAATCTCTGTTTAAACGTTTGTATTTAAAGAACAGAACTGTAAAGAATGTGATTGGACTCTCTCTGTAGGATGCGCCTTCTCCATTGAGAGATATCAAAACAGGATGACAAAGTAGGGACTTGGCCATTTTGTTGAAAACCATTGAATGTTAGTATTGGTGGGACTTTAGTTCAGTCTCTCCACAGAGAAATCCTCTAAGCTTCTGCAGTGGTTGAGAAAACGAGATCAGGAGTGATAAATCTAGCAGCCAGCAATAGGAAACCCAAGCAGGCAAGAGCTTTGGGTATCTCACTCTTGTTGCCATAAAGTGAATTCTCCCATTCCCGAGATCCTTCATTCAGAAGCACAGCTCAACTCAGTGTCCTTGAGCCCAGGACTTCAGACAGTAAAATTCTGCTGGCATTGAAGAAGACACAGTTATTGGATGGCATGGATTCTGGGAAGGTGTCTAGAGATCTGATTTTCTTGAGGGGTAAGGTATGTCTCCTATAATTCTTAGCAGTCTAGTAGCTTTTACTGGCTTCCCCAAGTCCACTTAGGTTTTAGCTCCTGCGTTTTGCCAAATCATTTGGTACAGTTCCACCTGCTTTCTTCTTCCAAAATTTTCCTATTTCTTGTTATATACTACTTTTGGCCTTCTCTGTCTCTGCTGCCTCTTAGTGATGCAAAACTTCCTTAGATTCATACCTCACTCTGAGGCTTTTTTTTTTTTTCTTGGAGCACTGAAAATTTTCTTTAAATCAAGAATAGTTGGAGTTTTCTGACTTTTGAGGAACATTCCATTTAAGTCTCTCTTTTTAACTGTCCTGTTCTCTTTTGTCTGAGATGGGGTAATTCAAGACATTTTACTAAATAAATCAGTTGAGAATATGACTTCTAAAATATCGACAAATACTTCGAAAAGCAACTCAAGCCTGTTTACTTGGTATGTCAAAATGCATGGTTAGTACCATAAATTAATTTTGGAATCATACATATTAATGTTCAAGCCTGGGTCCAGATTGTCTTTGTGCAAATTAGGCAAAGACATTCCCCTTGAGTGAAGGCACTACCAAAACAGTCCGGCTTAGGAAGAGGAGTATGGGTTGAATGGAGCTAACCTCCACATAACACAACACACCAGTACATGTTAAAACCTGAACAAACAAATGTGGGGACCTGCTGGGTTCCCATCTCTTACAGCTATTAACTTTGGGCAAGTTATTTAATTTACTTGAATTTTAAGTACTCATATACACAAAGTAATTATAATGGTATCCAATTAATAAACATTTATGGAAATTTTATGAGAATCAGATGAAGTATTTTTAATAATAAATCAGGTATGGTACTTAGTATTAGCTCCCATTGCTTTATCACTTACGCAACAAACAACAATTCAGATTTTTTTTACATTATGTTCTTCAGATTAAATGGAACCCTATGGCAATGTTTTATTCTGAGCATAAATATGTGTGCAACCTGTTGAAAGGAGGAGGTAAGAACCAGTATACATACTTCCCTAGTTGTGGATAATCTAAGATAATAATTCATTGTACTGCACTGCTACTGAACTGTGATTAAGGCAATAATTTATGATGATTTTTTAAGTCTATATTTTATCTTTTTGGAACAGAACATAATGATATAGCTTTGAATTATCCATCATTTTCCATTCAGATACCCAGAAATCACATTTTCGTAAGTAATTGGTAATAGGTAATATCATTTTTGCTTTTTTTTTTTTACAACATTTTGTTGTTGTAGGGTTTTCCTATAGAAAATACATGGTTTCTTAATGTTTTATCTCATTGCCTTGTCCAAAGAAAACGAAACGTGGAGGGACATTAGATTTTTAAAAATCCAGTTAACTGATAGGTTGTATACTATATTAATACTGAAAACATGATCTGTACTGTCAATTTTTCTCTCTTTCGTCTTCTATTCTTTTTAACCACACACTCTCAGTTGGAAAGAAGCAAAGAAAAATTTGAGATGTGTGATATGTACAGGCATTTATTTCCACAAATATATATTTTCATAAAGCATGTTTTAAATCACAAAATTTTAAAAATCTGTATGAATTATATTTTAATACATTGGGAACTACCTTATGTTTTCCCAATGAACATTTTTAGGTGTGCAGAATAATAAGTACATTGATTTGAAAATGAACAAAGAAAAAAGGATGAAGATCTAATATGGATATTTTAATTTTTGGAACATTGACATTTAACTTGTCATTATTTGTTGCAAGCTGGCAAAATTGTTTAACCAATGGAACTACATTTCTGATGTAATGGTTACATTTCTGATAATGTAAGAGATTTATTCCATAATAATAAAAACAGATTTTATATGTGATTTTATGATAACATCTGTCTATGTAGTACATGAAAATAAAGGATCATTTGAAAAGATAAATACAAGATACAAGATATTTAAACATATATTGATCAGAATCAATTCAGATGAGTTAATTTTAAAAAGATGGATTCAAAAAGGGACCTTCCCTTAAGAATGTCACATTCTATAAACATACATGTATTTTATAACATGTTTCACAAAACATTTGAAACTTAATAATGCTTTTTAGAGCAAGTGAAAATATAAATAAGAATATAATAATAAGAATAGGGGAGGATAGTGGAATATGAGGATGCTTGTGGCAGAAAGAAGTACATTAAAACAGCACTGTGTAGCTAAAATAAGGTGTTACAGAATAAGATGGTCACCAAAATAACATAACACTCAATGGGTGTCATATGTTTAATTGTTCATGATTATCTGTATTATTTTATGTGTGATGGCATTCCAGTCATAAAACTGGTTTATATGTTGACTCTACATGATTTGTAATACAATATAGTCAGAAACAAAAATGTAAAAGCAGAGTGAAGATAAGACAGAAAAGACTTCAGAACTCAAACAGCAGAAGAATCACCTACTTCTAGCCCATTCACAATCTGCTTCTATGAAATGCAAAAGCAATGCCTCTGGTGATGACTTTGATTACCTTATCAGTTTCTTCTTAAACAGATCCAGGCCCTATCATTCTTTAAAGGAAAACAGAGTGAGCACTGGCCCTGCTCTCTCCCACTCACATGCCATGGTTGTGGATGAGCCACTTTATTTCTGCAGGCTGAAGTTTCTGAAACAGGCTCAGTGATTATTTTGAAGCACTTTAGTCTCTAGCAACTGAGAATTCAATTTTTCTTTTCTTTTTTTCCATTATGTTAGCGTTTATCCTTTACAAGGTCAGCACCATTTATAGATAGTGCTGTACAAAACACATTTTAAAATTGGTGGAACGGACATAGAACCCTAACCATGGAGAATAAATTTCCAGCTAGAAAGTTTCCCCTCCAGCAATGCAATCCCAAACAGGTATTTCAGACCTTTAATTTTCACCTCCCTGCAAAATAAGTTTTTTCTTAATACTTAAAGAAATCCCTTAAATCATTCCAAAGTTCAGAAAAGAAAGTCAGTGCTTGATACTTTAATTAGCAGTAATCGTCAGTCATCTGTAAAGAATAATGGCATCAACATAAAGAAGCATAGATGGTTACCTAGGGGAATTCTTAAGCAATTGCAGACATTTTCAAAATGAAAAACACTAGATGCAGTGTCTGATTTTTGCAATCTCTGCATTTGCTGTTTATCTAGTGAAACACTTATAGTCTTCCTTCTTTCCCTAAAAAATGGCTAAAGACTAAAGGACAAAGAAGCTTTCCTGTCCCAATTTTGCTTCTAACACCTCTATTTATTTATTTTGTGAGCTCTCTCCTTGCATGTAATGTATAATTTATGTAGTAGTTACCTCCCTCATGGATACAGCACAAAGATTAATGAGTGTTGTCTTTAAAGTTATTTCTTCATTATCATCTTTCTGCATAGTGGGAGGTTGGCCTTGTCTAAGTAGAAATACTTATAAGCTTTGGAAGTGTTGTCGCACTTAGGGAAAGAAGGATTTTGTACAACCTGGATATGTTTCATTAGCTGATGGATCATAACGTCTCTAAGATACTAGGAATATTCTACCTCTATCCCTTTTGAGAGACAGAGGAGTATAAACTTCAAAAAATATGTTTATTAATGAAAATTGATATATATAGTTGCACAAAGCCCCCAAAAGTATAATGCAGTAGTATTTGACATTATAATGTTAAGTTATAAATGTTAAAGTAGCTCCCTCACCATATTGTGTGACTCTGAGCTGTTCTCAAAACAAACAACAAAATTGAATGTTCATTTATTCTCTCAATTTTCTTTTAATTCATTCAATGAATTTGTATTCTTTGCCTGTGTTATGTTTTCTGTTTCTATCCAGGTTGCTCTTTTCCTTCATGAATATCTAGGTCCCCTATATTTTCTATCACAAGATTTAATCCTTCTGTTTTCTGGTTGAATCCTAAATCACAGTCAATACACTTGAGGTTCTCCATAAGATTAGGAATTGCTGCTTTTGTTTATTTTGTTTCTTTCCACCACATCTCATATGAAATAAACTGTTGTAATATCATTTCACTATCTTTCTCAATAGACAAACTGGCTTTTAGCTGGGTGCTTTGCTTCTAATATAAAATATTTCTTAATATCTCTTGTAACAAGTTGTAACCATATGATTAAGTACTAGCCAATAAGGTATTTATGAACAAATTATAATGTTTTTCCAGGAAAATTCCTTAAAATGAAAGGAATTTTTTCAATAAATATTCTTCCATAAACTATTTAGAATATCATTGATTGTCTGAAACTGTAGCATCCATGTTGAACTATTTGGAGACCTTATAAATGGAGCAACAAGATAGGAGAAGCCTGCTTCCCTGACAGTAGCCATTGGCTGTCTACTTGTTTATTTCTTTTCCATGACAGAGGAGTAAACTTTTACTTTACTTAAGGATCTATTTTTTGGAGGTTCTGCTTGGTTCATAAACAAATATAATTTTAACTAATACAACCTAGTAAATTGCTAAGCATATATTATAACCTAAATAAAAACATCCTGATTATTTGACTTCAATTTTTTTAGGGCTATGAACATAGGGCTTAATCCAAGTACTCCACGGATAAAACAGACATGACTCATATAATAAAAAAATGTTAGACCGAATATTTTATGATTGTTAAAACTGTTTGTGATTTTAATAGATACTCACACTTGAAAATTATGAATATAAAGATTACAATGAATGAGATAATATATAATAAAACAAATACAAAAATCATCCTAACAAAATTATCCAAAGGTAAATTCTATCATCTTATATGATTTTAGAGAAAAGAAAATATCACTATCCATCCAATTTAGTTTCCTGATGTTTCTTACTTGGCATGATTAGGATTATTTTATTAATATATTTCCTCTTTCCATGTTACTCTTTTAAAATGATTTATGTATTCATTCAATAAAAATTTATTCAGCACATATTAGGTACCATGCACAATGTTAAACACTCTGTAAGAAGGTAAGCAAGGTGTATTTAGTCTACACCGTTATAGAGTTCCAATCTAGTAGGAGATATTAAATAAGCAAATCCATTCTAATACATGTATCTGTCTTCCTTATAAACATATGGCTTAGCATTCCTAAGTTGTCAAATTGACCAGTTCTATCTTTGCCCAAAGAATCTGGCAATACTTAAATACAAGGGCAGATTGTAAAAATATTTTTCTTAGGGAAGTGAAGTGTCTCACTTCAGCAAATAGAAATTATCTGATAAGGGTATTAGATGTTATTAATATACCAAATCATGGCATCAATATCACGACAAACAAGTACACATAGGTTACTTGAGTGATGTGGACATTGTTCTCCTTTCCTTTCTTGCATACAAATGGTATTAATATATCACAGGCAAGAGGCCACTTACAGATGGTTGACTTACATCGATTTTTTTTTTTCATAGTCCATTTCTTTAGCACTCAAAATCTTTTCTTATGGAAGTGTGGATACTGATTGTGGTTCTATTCTCAGGAGAACTCGTAAAATCCCGCTAAACCTCTAGAGTGCTAGAAACATTAAGCCCTTAAACATGAAATAAGTTCTGAGTTCTGATTATAGGGGCATGAGTTTTGTAAACCTAGAAAGCCTGAGACAGGTCTCAGTTAATTCAGAAAGTTTATTTTGGCAAGGTTGAGGATGCGTGCCCATGACCCAGACTCAGGAAGTCCTGACGACGTGCCTAAGGTGGTTGGGGTGCAGCTTGGTTTTATACATTTTAGGGAGTCATGAGACAACAATCAAGTAGATTAAGAAATAGATTGGTTTGGTCCAGAAAGGAGGGACAACCCAAAGCAGGGGGTGGGGTGAGGGTTGTGCTACCAGGTTATGGGTAAATTTAAATATTTTCTGGTTGACAATTGGTGGAGTTTGTCTAAAGCCCTGGGATCAATAGAAAGGAATATTTGGGTTGTCATAAGAGGTGGTGGAGACCAAAGTTTCATTATACAGGTGAAGCTTTTAGCTAGCAGTCCTCAGAAGGAACAGGGTATAAAATGTTTCTTATCAGACCTAAAGTCTGTTGATGTTAATGCCAGAGAGTTATAATAAGGCATATCTGACCCCCCACTTTCCTTCATGGCCTGAACCAGTCATTCAGGTTAAATTTAAAGAGCCCTGGCTGAAGAGGAAGTCCATTTAGATGACTGGGGGGCCTTAGAATTTTAGTTTTGGTTTATGGTTTCAAAAGGAAAGAAGAGAAGGAGGAAAAGAATAGAACTATGGGGAAAAGAATAGAAGAAAAAGAGTGAACAGAAAAGAAGATAAAGCAAGAAAAAGGAAAGTATCTTCCATGTTATTTTGAGTAAAATCAATCTTTTCTTAAAAATGCAAAGTTTGTCCTCAGTATACTTATTTACTAAACTCCTCTTTCAATGCTACTTTCAATTGCTCTGGTAATTCTCTAAGCCCTATCTATGACATATCTTCCAGGCCTAGTTAGCAATAGTCAACATCAGCTTGCCCAACAGCCACCAAAAATTTCATTTCTTTTGTTGCATCTGATTTCAGTTAAGAGTCATTAGAAAAGTAGTGAAAGTGGTTCCTTTGAACAAATATGTAATGGTGCCTTTTTATACATCCAGTTATTGTTGTGATCCTGAAATTTAGAGTTAATATAGAATAATTTGTCCAAACCACAACAATTTTACAGGCAAAAGAGATACTCTTAATAACTATGCCAGGACAACAGGCTAACCCAGGGCTGTCCCAGGCAGACTGGAAATATTGATCCCTTATGTAAATGGATCTTTGTTAACTCACATGAATCCATAACTGGTAAATGTTGAGATGAGTGAGGTCATGCAATGTTAAAAATTTGGATCATAGGCAAGAAGTACTAATAAAATCATCCCTCTCTTAAAATGTCTTCTATAGGTCAGTATATACCTCTGAATTATTCCTCATATCCATAACTTTTCTTGATCTCCTGTATTCTCATCAATTTATTAACCTGCATTTACCCAAAACTTTACTTTTACATAATGGCCTACTTTTTCCTCCACAGTTGCCAGTTGATTTTAGCTAGAAAGTGTAGAAATTATGGGTTGAGAAAAGTTTAGTCAGATTGTCAGAGGTGTGTGAACCAGAGCAATTCCATATTGAATAGGAGCTGAGTAAAATAAGCCTAAGACCTACTGAGCTGCATTCCCAGACAGTTAAGGCATTCTAAGTCACAGACTGAGATAGGAAGTCAAAACAAGATACGGGTAATAAAGACTAAACCCACCAGCTAAAACCCACCAAAACCAAGATGGCAACGAGAGTGACGTCTGGTCATCCTCACTGCTACACTCCCACTAGCAAGCACCTTGACAGTCTACAAATGCCATGGCAATGTTATGAAGTTACCCTATATGGTCTAAAAGGAGGAGGCATGAATAATCCACCCCTTGTTTAGCATATAATCAAGAAATAACCATAAATCTGGACAACCAGCAGCCCTCCGGATTGCTTTGTCTATGGAGTAGACATTCTTTTGCTCCTCTTTTTTTTTTTTTTTTTTTTTTGAGACGGAGTCTTGCTCTGTCACCCAGGCTGGAGTGCAGTGTCGCGGTCTCGGCTCACTGCAAGCTCCGCCTCCCGGGTTCACGCCATTCTCCTGCCTCAGCCTCCGGAGTGGCTGGGACTACAGGCGCCCGCCACCGCGCCCGGCTAATTTTTTTTTTTGTATTTTTTTGTATTTTTTAGTAGAGACGGGGTTTCACCATGGTCTCGATCTCCTGACCTCGTGATCCGCCTGCTTCAGCCTCCCAAAGTGCTGGGATTACAGGCGTGGGCCACCACGCCCGGCCCTCTGCTTTCTTAATAAACTTGCTTTCACTTTACAGACTTGCCCTGAATTGTTTCTTGCGCAAGATCTAAGAACCCTCTCTTGGGGTCTGGATCAAAAACCCCTTTCCTGTTACAAGGTGATGGCCAACCAGGAGTATCTGTTTATACAAAAAAGCCTTGTAAAAGAACCTGGGGAAAAGGCTGTTCGTTTTCATCTAAAATATGTAAAAAAGAATTAGTTACACACACATTGGTGGTGTCTGTTAGGTTTAGGCATGGAGCGATTGCAAGCAAAGCTAAAGCAAAGGGCCTTGTGTATTGAAAGAGAGATTATTAAAAAGCATTGATGTTTGCTTATTCTCCACTTGAACTAAGTTATTTAAATTGTTAGAACAACAACAATAACACAAGGGCTATGAGCAAATTAAGAGAGCAAATTCATGCCCACCTGATACTAATGTTATGCAGGTGGTAAACTGTTAACTATATAGTATGATCTAAAGTATCAGAATTATTTTCTCTACACAGTCAGCATAGTGTCTGAAATTCCATCTTCAGATCCGACTCATTTAGAACAAGTATGACCTTTCCCTGCTGTCCTTTGTTCCCTCTTAAGCTAGTGCTTCCAGGGAGGGATGGCACAATTATCTCCAGGCTCTGTACTAAGTGACATAAAAGCACATATGGATTTATGCTAAAAATGAAATAGAGGGTTTATGCTAAAAGAAAAACAGACAAAAGAGGAAATATCTTTCACCAAAATTAATTGCATTTTAGAGCCAATAAATCACTCCTACCATATACAATTTATTTTTTCACTGATGTCATTGAAATTTTAATTAGAACTATGCAGACTTATTTTAATTGTAACATATCAGTCTTATAAAATACTTTAATTTTCAAAAAAGTTAGCACTGATTCTTCGCAAAGACTGCAATTCAAGAAGAGAAGCAGTTTAATCCAACTTTCTTTTCAATGAAATACTATAAAAAAATTAAGAGGCAAGGAGAAGGAGGAGGAGTGATTACAGGCCAGCTTCTATGATGTGCAGCCTAACACGATGGTGTGGTGGTGGAAACCTGAAGAACAGATTTTGTCCCAGCCCTGACATTCACTTTCCTCCCATGGAACTGGGAGATAGTTTCCTACCCTGTTTGAGCCTCAGATTGTTTAACCATAAAAAGGAGACATTTATATTTCATTTGCAATGTTATAATAAAATGAAAAATATGTATATAAAGCACCATGAAATTCTTGATAGATAGTATTTAGTAAATTGTATTTGATATTATTTTATCACTTTAGTACAGGGCAAGGTAGCAGATTAGTTAGAATACAGTCAGTAACTAGACAATGACAATTAAAAAAGAAAACGGTCAGCTAGATTTGCATAGGAAGTCATAGTATTAGTACAAGAGGGTAGATACAAATTTAATTGATTTTTCAGATTTTGTGGACAAAGTATCCATTTGATGAACAGCTATTATAGCAGCATGTCAACAATATCGCATATGCTAACTCCAGTTAGTACTCCACACTCCCTGCATAGAAGAGAGAAAGATGAATATGTGAGGAATAAGTCAAATGTTCTGCTGGCATTCTTAGTGCTTTTCAGACTTTAATGTGTATATTAATCACCTTTGATTCTTCTTGAATTTCAGATTTTAAATTATTAGATTTGAGAAGAAGCCTAAGACCCTGCATTTCTAAAATTCCCCAACTGGTGCCAATGTAGGGTGGCAAATTTAGCAACTATAGATGCAGGTAGCCCAGTTAAATTTGGATTTCAGATAAACCCTTGTATACTTGTTTGGATGTGTATGTCCCAATGGCTATACATCTACTAAAAATATTTCTAAAAATTATTTTTATCTGAATTTACAATTTAACTGGCTATTCTATATTTTATCTAGGGACTATATATCAGTGTCACTGCTAAGTAGATCACCTTTGAGTAGTAAGATTTTCAACCTTAAAACTCAGGTTGTGATTATATGCAAATATTGATATGAAATATCAGCATATTATTTAACTATTCCAGAAAATTGAGAGCAGTAGGGTGATAAACACATGCTTTCTACCTGCACGACTTTGTGGTTTTTGGAACAAAAGGCTTATTAGGAGTTAATGTGACATGATATTAGAGTGCAAGAAGGAGAGCAGAAGATTTAACCTGCAACACAAGATTAGGGGAAGCCAAGGGCTACAGAAACTAGATCCTCTCCTCTCTCTTGACTGTCTTTCATGTAATTCCTCTGGAATAAACTGGAATTTGAACAATGGCATGGAATCTAGGAAAGTGACCAGGGTAGCAGGTCTCATTGATCAGCTAATTATAGTAAATACATGTACTATTTCTGGAAAACATTTTTTTTTTTTTTTTTTGAGACACAGTTTTGCTCTTGTTGCCCAAGCTGGAGTGCAATGGTATGATCTTGGCTCATTGCAACCTCCACCTCCTGGGTTCAAGCGATTCTCCTGCTTCAACCTCCCGAGTAGCTGGGATTACAGGTGCCCGCCCCAGCTAATTTTTGTATTTTTAGTAGAGACAGGGTTTCACCATATTAACCAGGCTGGTCTCAAACTCCTGACCTCAGGTGATCCACCCACCTCGGCCTCCCAAAGTGCTGGGATTACAGGCATGAGCCACCACTCCCAGTCCATTTTTTTTAAATTAAAAGCTGATAAACACAAAATAAAAGGCAGGTAAGATGAAATGTGCCTCACATATCAAATTCTTCGAAATGAGCCTGCATCAATGTGAGGGAATTGGAAGAGGGAGACAGAAACCAGAGAAGTTACTTTTTTTTACCTGAAAGAAACTAACATACAAAAAAAGCACATTGAAATATATTTTACGTATCTGTTTCTTGGGGATGCTAACAAGTACATGATTGTGTGTGTGTATATTAGCTTCAACCATTAGTGCCTAAGAAAAATCCGTATTTATCAAACATGTTCATGTTTGCAGCAGAAACAATATTATGGAATGAAAGCCCACCAGAGGCTTTGTGTGATGAACTGTTAAGATTGGATAACTTAACATATAAAACAGTTTCAGCAGTTCAGCATACTCTCTACTATAAACAATTTTTATTCTGTTACCAAAGCTTTGTTAGGTAGGTGATAAACAATTTTAAATCGCTTGAAATTCAACATATTCTTATTTTTCTTATATTGAAGAACAAAGAGTAGACTTCAACTGAACACATGCAATGATTTAGCATAGTTACATAAAACAAAAAAGAGTTTCATCTATGTTTGAGAACCTTCTAAGTGCAATAATTATGTGGTTGAAATCAAATGAATGAGAAAAAGAGTAGGAGGGAATTAAGGCAAGAAAGAATGCAAGAGGAAAAACAATAAATTATAAATACGCAAATTAAATGCAATCCCTATCAAAGTTCCAATGTCATTTTTACACAAATAGAAAAATAAAACAATTCTGCAGCCTGGTCAATATGGCAAAACCCCATCTCTACAAAAAATAAAACACACACACACACACACACACACACACACACACACACACAAATAACTGGATGTTTTGGCACACCTCTAGTGTCAGCTACCCAGGAGGCTGAGGTGGGAGGATCACCTGAGCCCAGGAGGTCAAGGCTGCAGTGAGCCATGATCATGCCACCGCACTCCAACCTGGGTGACAGAGTGAGACCCTGTCTCAGAAAGAAAAAAAGAAAATACAACTCCAAAATTCTTGTGAACCCACAAAATATTCTGAATAGCTAAAGTAATCCTGAGAAGGAAAACAAAGTTGGAAGCGTCACACTTCCTGATTTCAAAATTATAATTTATAGCTATAGCAATCAAAGAGTATGATACTGGCATAAAAACAGATTCATAGACCAATGGAACAGAGTAGGTAGCCCAGAAACAAACCCAAGCCCAGACAGCCAACTAATTTTTAACATGAGCATCCAGAAGACACAATGGGTAATGATAGTCACTTCAATAAATTGTGCTGGAAAAACTGCATATCCACATGCAAAAATGAAACAGGACCCCATCTTAAATCACATACAAAAAATCAATTTGAAAATGCACTAATGACCCAAATGTAACACCTGAAATTGTAAAACTCTTAGAAGAAAGCATAGGGGAAAAGTTCTTTGACGTTGGCTTTGGCAATAATTTTTTGGATAGGATACCAAAAGCACAGGTAACAAAAGCAAAAATAAACAAGAGGGACTACATCAAACTAAAAAGCTTCTGCACTTCAAAGGAAACAAACAACAAAATGATAAGGCGGCCTACGAATTGGGAGAAAATATTTGTGAACCATATATCTGATAGGGGGCTAATGTCCAAAATATATAGGAAACTCACACAACTTCATAGCAAATAATAAGTTGATTTGAAAACGGGCAAAGGATTTGAACTGATATTTTTCCAAAGAGACACAAATATGGCCAATAGGTATATTAAAAGGTCCTCAATGTCATGAATCATCAGGGAAATGCAAGTCAAAATCATAATGAGATATCACCTTATACCTGTTAGGATGGTTATTATAAAAAAGACAAGAATAACAAGTGTTGGTAAGGGTGTGAAGAAAGCGAAACCCTTGTACACTGTCGGTGGGAATAGACTGGTAAAGCTATTATGAAAAACTACATGAAAACATCTCAAAACTTAAAACTAGAACTACTATATGGCCCAGCAATCTTTCTTCTGGATTCATACCCAAAGAAACTTAAATCACCTCCTTGAAAGATATATGAATTTCCATGTTAATACAGCATTATTCACAATAGTCAAGATATGGAAAGAACCTAAGTAAGTGTCTGTTGATGGATGAATAGATAAAGCAAGCATAGTATTGGCCAGGTGCAGTGGCTAACACCTGTAATCCTAGCACTTCAGGAGGTGGAGATGGGCAGATTGCTATGAGTTTGAGTTCAAGACCAGCCTGGGCACATGACACAACCCTGTCCCCACAAGGAAAAAAAAAAAAATAGCTGGACGTGTTAGAACTGTGGTTACTAGAGGCAGTGGAAGCAGGGTGGGGAGAAAAAGAGAACTAGTGGGGTCATAGGGTAAAAAGTTGCAGTTATACAGGATAAATAAGTCTGGAGATCTAATGTACAGCATGAGGACTATAGGTCAGGTGTCTCTAACCCATTCGCCACAGACCTGTACCAGTCTGTGGCCTGGTAGGAACCGGGCCACACAGCAAGAGGTCAGCGGCTTCATCTGTATTTACAGCTGCTCCCCATCACTCACATTAGAGCCTGAGCTTCTCCTCCTGTCAGATCACCTGCTGCATTAGATTCTTATAGGAGCCCAAACCCTATTATGGACTGTGCATGCAAGGGTTCTAGGTTGCATGCTCCCTATGAGAATCTAATGCCCGATGATCTGAAGTGGAGCTGAGCTGGTGATGCTAGCACTGGAGAGTGGTGGCAAATACAGGCTAACCTTAGCAAGGAGGTTTGACTGCACCAAGTCAATTGTTTGCAGACTCATATCAAGGCCCTATCAGTAAGTAGCAACTGACTATTAAGCTGCATCTCATGGCAGACTTTATAGTGGCAAGTGAGTTGATGTACTTCAATTGTATAGCTACATCTAGTGGCAGTCTTTAAGTCAGAATCAGACATTTATTTCAGTATATACGAGGTCCACCCATTATTTCATTTACCACTTCCATCTGCGCCTCTTTCCTGCAATGTGCACCTCTCCCAGTCACAGTTTTGGTAAGCCCGCAAGCTAAACCTTGCCAAAATGAGTGAAAAAAAAGGTCATTGGAGAGCTTCTTTGAAAAGGGGGAAAGCCCCAATGACGGGAAAGTGGAAGATTTTTAGACTGCCAACAACAACAAAAAGCTGCATTTAAAAGAAAATATCAAGAATCCTACTTAAATTATGGGTTCCCTGCAATAGGTGATTCACATTCTCCAAGCCCACTTTGTATAATATGTGGCGACCAGCTATCCAATGAAGCCATGAAACCTTTAAAACTGCTTCATCACGTGGAGACTAAGCACCCTGCATTAAAAGACAAAATGTTGGAGTTTTTCAAAACAAAATACGTGAACATGAAGAACAGAAACCGTTATTGAAGGCCACCACTTTATCAAATGTGTCTGCATTGAGAGCATCCTTCTTAGTGGCTAACTGTATTGCTAAAGCTAAGAAGCCCTTTACTATTGGTGAAGAGTTGATCCTGCCTGCTGCTAAGGACATTTGTCATAAACTTTTAGGAGAGACAGCAGTTCAAAAAGTGGTACATGTTCCTCTTTCCCCTAGCATCAGAGATAGACAAATTGATAAAGTAGCAGAGGATACTGAGGCAAAATTGCTAGAGAGGATTAATAAGTCACCATGGTACACAATCCAGTTGCTGGGTCTACTGATGTTGACAAGGAAAAAATGTTATTTCTGTGCAATATATTTTTCAGGAGAATATGCAGGAGGATGTGCACTTTTTATTCCAACCACTACCACAGCTGCAGAACTATTCAAGTCTTTGAATAATTACTTATCAGGAAAACAGAATTGGTCATTTTGTGTTGATATATTCATGGAGGAAGTGGCTGCCATGACTGGACAGCTTTCTGCTTTTACTACTTGAGTCAAAGAAGTAGCTTCTGAATGTGAGTCTATGCAATGTGTCATCTATAGAGAACTGCTGGCTAGCTGAAAAATGTCACCTGAACTTAACAACACTTTTGCAGGATGTGATTAAAATGATCAACCACATTAAATACATGTCCTTAACTCATGTCTGTTTGTGCAGCTTGGTGAGAAGATGGGCGCAGAGCACACACGTCTTCCCATACACTGAAGTGAGATGGCTTTCTAAAGGTAGACCACTGTCCAGAGTTTTTGAATTATGAGAGCCACTCCAGAGATTTCTTTTAGACAGACAGTTATCACTGGCAGCAAATGTCAGTGACACAGAATCAGTAGCAAAACTTGCTTAGTTATGTGACATATTCAACCAACTGAATAAACTCAATCTGTCACTTCAGAGGAGAATGATGACTGTGTTCAAGTTGGCAGAAAAAGTGGCTGCATTCAAAGCCCAACTGGAATTATGGGGGTGATGAGTGAACACTGGAATTTCTGACATGTTTCAAACATTAGCAGAGTTTTGAAAGAGACTTAGCCAGGGCCTCCTTTCTCCCAGCTTGTTCATAATCACCTATCTCAGTTTTCCAAAGAGTTTGAGCATTACTTCCCAACCACAAAAGACCCCCAAACTGGGAAGGAATGGATCCATGACCCATTTGTGAATAAGCCAGGTGAATCAATTTCGTCTGTGTTAGAAAAGGATCAACAGCTTGAGATCACAAATGACAGTGGCCTTAAAAGTATGTTTGAGACAACTTCAAATCTCCAAACGTTTTGGATTAAAGTCAAGGTCAAGATGGAATATCCTGAGATTGCCACAAAAGCAGTGGAAAGCCTGCTTCCATTTCCAACATCCTATCTTTGTGAAGCAGGGTCTTCTTCAGCGACAGCAACCAAAATGACATTACAGAGTAAGTTAAACATAGGCAACACACTTCGGGTGTCACTGTCACTCATCATCCCCAGATGGGACTGTCTAGTTGCAGGACAACAAGCTCAGGGATCCCACTGATTCTGTACTGTGGTGAGTTGTATAATTATTTCATTATCTATTACAATATAATAATAATAATAGGAATAAAGTGTACAGTAAATGTAATGTGTTTGAATCATCCTGAAACCATCCTCCCACCCCGCATCCCCAGTCTGTGGAAAAATTGTCTTACAGGGAACCAGTCCCTGATGCCAAAAAGGTCGGGGACCACTGTGATAGGTCATAATATTATATTTTATACTGAAAATTTGCTAAGAGAACACATTTAGGTACTGTTACATTAAAAGATAACTATGTGAGATTATGTCTACATTAATTGGCTTAGATATAATCATCATTTCAATATGTATACATAAACCAAAACATTATGTTGTACAACTTAAGTGTATATAATAAATTTTTATTAAAATGTTAAAAACAAAAAAGAGAGTCAGCGAAAAACAGTGAGAGAGAGAGAGACTGATGCTAGCTGCTTTCATAAAATTGATTTCTTGCTATGTTCTCCACAGAGCACTTACCAAAGGCTGGGCAAATACTTCCCAGAAGCTCCCAAGCATAAAGATCCATTAACAAAATTATTTCTAATTTTTTTTTCCTTAAATGAGTTGTCTTTGACAGATGTAACAAGATCTAAACATAAAGCATTTCTGTTTTTTTTTTTCTTTTTAACTGAAATATCAAGAACCTTATTTTCAAGATGATACATAAGATGTTTATTGTAGGGACTGGAAGGTCCTAATTATTGTTCCATCTATGGAAATGAGAAAAAAGCAAAACAAATATGTATAATCCCACATATGTTATACATATGTAGTATATACTTACATATAATTCTTTTAACAGCATAGATTATATAACTACAAAATATGACTAAATTTATTTCAGACGTTTCTATTCCACCAACTATAAGAAAATAATCATTTTTTAAAGGATATCAGAAAGGGTAGAAGTGGCTATGCTTTATGAGATTTTCATGTACAAATGCCATACTTAGAAGTCACATACTTTAATGCATTCTGAGACCTTTTTTATTTGAGAATACATAAATAATTTGATAGCTGTCATTTTACTGTAGTTTGGGACTGAATCTTTGATTAGTATTCACTCAAGGGAAACATTCAGTTAGTTATTTAATATTCTCCACTGAAACTATGTTTGACGCCTGTATACTATATCACTATCACTTCAGAGAAAACTAACTCTTAGGATATTGATTGTGGATTCATTCAAATCTTCAAGAGCTGTAGTTTTTGTTGCAGCAGGTATATTAGAGTTAGGTTTTAACAAATAATATATTTTTTGACTTTTATTTTGGGTCCAGGGATACATGTACAGGTTTATTATATAAACTCCTGTCACGGAGGTTTGATGTACATATTATTTTGTCACCCAGGTACTAAGCCTAGAACTCAATAGTTATCTTTTTCTGTTTCTCTCCCTCCTCCCACACTTGACCTTCACAATTCTTGATAAGTAGATTTTGTGTTAAAATATTTGGGTAATATGAAAATGAATAAGTTGCAATGCTTTAGATGCTCATGCATTGGGAAAGTATATAGACCAAAACTGATTACGGTAGCAACAAAAATATTACTTTTGACCATTTTCTTTTTTCTCAAAGTGAACTTTTGTAGAAAACATTTTATTAAACTTTCATTATAAAATGATCATTGCAAATTAAGACAGTTTAGTGAATTTTTGCAACTACTTAGTGAGGCTAACTGAGCATATATGTACATAAAGTGTTTGGCACAAAGTAGGCCATGAATAAATGATAGCTATAATTTTTATTTGTGTGAATGTTCTTGATTCCAAGGAAAAAAATGAATTGTCTGTCTCCTCTTCTAAAATACTTCTCAATATGCAGACTGCTTCAAATATATTCCCTAATGCACAACCACATAGTAAGAATAAATTACTTAAAATTATATTTGAAGTAGATTGGTTGACTCACAAAGTAAATATGTTTACAGAAAAAAATGAATATCCAAATAAGTAATCACTAGCTATAATGAATGTAAAAAATATTTAGCGCTTTCCTTGAAGGTATAAATGTCAGATCATCTGAAATTCAAGAGACACATACAGAAGATAAGAACACCAAGAAAATTCTTGGCTAGCTTAACGTTAGTCCACATACAACTCACAGCATAACCAACTCTGATATTTTAGATGTTAAGTGGAACACAGTTCATTTCTACCATTGTCAATCCAAATCATATTTGATCTACAATTTATATTGAGATGATGCAGAATAAATTTTCTCAGCTTTTTGGTTTTTAGCAAATTGTGCAATTTTCACAGATGTCTGACCTTTGGATTTTAACATGATAATGCACCCTCTTTTCAACATAGATTACTATATAAAAATTATTCTTTCAAACAAAAATAATTTCAAAAGGAATATAAAAAGATACAAATTTTTTTTTCAAAAATATGTCCAGGACTATCAAATACAGTTGGCCTTTGAGATATTTCAGAATTGATAGGTAAATATATAAAAAGCTGAATATTGTAAGTGATAATATATGCTTTCTTTATGAGTTTAACTGATTGAAAAACATGTGTTTAATGATCTTAATCTCAAAATATACTGTGATTGTCACCTTCTGAAATAGATACAGAGATAGACATCCAAATGATCAGGAAAAATATGACAGTGGCCCTCTTCTCACAGCTTCACTAGCCATTGCCCCAGTAGGGACTCTGTGCGGGGGTTCCAACCCCACATTTCCCATCTGCACTGCCCTAGTTCTGCTCCTGCAGCAGACTTCTGCCTGGACATTCAGGCCTTTCCATACATCCTCTGAGATCTAAGTGTAGGCTCCCAAGCCTCGTCTCTTGCCCTCTGTGTACCTACAGGCTTCATATCACATAGATGTCCCCAAGGTTTATGGCTGGCACCCTCTGGACCAGAAGCCTGAGACAAATCTTGGGCCCTTTTAGCCATGACTGGAGCTGGAGCAGTTAGGACACAGGGAGCAGTGTCCCAAGGTTGCACAGAACAGCAGGGCCTTGCCCAACCCACAAAACCATTCTTCTCTCCTAGGTCTCCAGGCATGTGATGGGAGGGGCTGCCACAAAGTTATCTGAAATGCCTTCAAGGCATTTTTCTCATTGTCTTGGCCATTAATATTTGGCTTCTTTTTACTTATGCAAATTTCTGCAGCCAGGTTGAATTTCTCCCCAGAAAATGGGTTTCCCTTTTCTACCACATGGTCAGTCTACAAATTTTCTAAACTTTTATGCTTTGCTTTCCTTTTAAATTTAAGTTCCAGTTTCAGTACATCTCTTTGCTCACACATATGGCCATATGCTGTTGGAAGCAGCCAGGCCACCCCTTGAATGCTTTGCTGCTTAGAAATTTCTTCTGCCAGATACTGTAAATAATCACTCTCAAGTTCAAAGTTCCACAGATCCCTAAAGCAGGGACACAATGCTGCCAGTCTCTTTGTTAAAGCACAGCAAGATTGAACTTTACTCCAGTTCCCAATAAGTTCCTCATCTGTATCAGAGACAAGCTCAGCCTGGACTTCACTGTCCATATCGCTGTCAGCATTTTGTTCACAACCATTCAACAAATCTCTAAGAAGTTCTAAACTTTCCCTCATCTTCCTTCCTTCTTCTGAGCTCTCCAAACTGTTCCAACCTCTGTGCATTACCCAGTTCCAAAGTTGCTTCCACATTTTCAGGTATCTTTATATCAATGCCTCACTTTCTCATATTAATTTTCTGTATTAGTTCATTCTTGCACTGCTATAAAGACATACCTGAGAATGGCTAATTTATAAAGAAAAGAGGTTTAATCAGCTCATGATTCTGTGGGCTACACAGCCTTCTGCTTCTGGGGAGGCCTCAGGAACTTTACAATCATGGCAGAAGGCAAAGGGGGAAACAAGTAAGTCTTAGGTGGTGGGAGCAGGAGGAAGAGAGAGTGAAGGGGGAGGTGCTACACATTTTTAAACAACCAGATCTCATGAGAACTCTATCATGAGACACCACTATGGTGCTAAACCATTAGAAACCATCCCTATGATCCAATCAACTTCCTGTCAACCCCACTTCCAACACTGAGGATTATAATTTGACATGAGACTTAGGTGAGAACACAGAGCCAAACTATAACAGTCTTCTTCTAAAATTTTCCTCACCCTCTCCTGGTACCACTTAGGACAAAGGTGTACCCTTATCAAGTGAAAAATACAACTCTTCCTGTCACACTTGATTTTTCTCTTCAGATTTAGATAGCTTACCATTTTACACCTACTTTGAGCAGAATCGCAATGGTGCTATTGCTCACTTATTGTTTTATTATTTTTATCTACCATACTTGCTGGTAAGCTTGTTAAGGATAGTGTGTGTGTCTGCTTCATCACTGTATTGTTTCTATGAAACATATAGTGTCTTTCACCTAGTCAATGTTTTTCAATAGTTTATAAATGTGTGAATTGTAAGCTATCTCTGGCTCTATCATGTAATTGTATACGTATTCAGAAGTTAATACTTTTAAGTTAGGATGTAGAACTACTATCAGTCTTCTAAGTTACTCTTACAAGGAACAAAAATAAAAAGAAACAACATTTTATTTTGCTTATATTTGTTTAGAAAATCTGGAAGTGAAAACAAAGGTACTGATCTCTAAAGATGGATTTTTTCTCTTAATAGAGAATAAAAATAGTAAGTCATCTTGAGATAATCCTCAAATTATATAATATCAAATATGAGAAAATGGAAACTTTTTTCAAATTATATATGTAAGAAAATAACATTGAATAATTGAATATTTAACATTGAACCTTGAATAATAAAGAGTAAATCATATTGATGAAAATTATACAGAATTATTCTTATTTTTTCATACAGGCATAAAATCTTTAGGAAAAACAGATTAGTCAAGTAGATGACTCAATATAATAATCTAAAATGTTATTTGCATTCTAACTAATTTCCATGGCTATACAGAAGTCAACAGAAAACTCACATAACTTTCTTAGATTTCTCATATCCTGATTCTCTCATGTTTTTTTTTTCAGTTAATTCTCTGAAGATATACAGACTGCTGAGAAGTGAACAAAATGTATCAAGGCTGCAGATAAAAATATAATTGTGAATAAGAAAACAAGCAGCTTATATCCTGGATATTTTAAATGAAGCCAATGAGAATATAAATTTAAAATTACACATCTCTAGACTGCCTAAAGATTTCACAAAATGGTGCCTCCAACTTTGTTACTTATCCTCTTTTTTATATCAAAGTATTTCTATGATATTTTAACTTTTCTTAAAGTGTATTGGTGGGTTTCTAACATAGGTAAGATTACCTGTGTTCGATCGATAGAAAATCATTTTTTATCTCTTTTTTATTTTGTTTTACTCTAGTCTGTGTATTTTTAATTTACAATATATATACATTTATAAATTTATAATTTCACCCATGAGGGGGAAAATACTGTAACTAGCTATGTCCTTTAAGTGGTGTTGATTTTTCAAGTGGACACATCATCTCGTTTCCAAAAATAGTGATTTCCATCTAATAAAAATTCTAATTCTCTCCTATTCTTGGATGAAGTAGAGATTATTCTAATTTATTTATAAATAGCCTTTTATCCCTTCCTGCTGTACAAAGGAGCTGATAGCTAAGCAACATTTTTCCTTCTTCACATGTACTCAGTCTCAGCAAAGAAATCAGCCTCAAATTTTAACATCACTTTCTACTTATTTTTTTAAGTAACAAGGCCTCCATTTCATTTTTAATGTAATTTAGTGATCTTTTGGTTATATTCATATAATCAAAGTATTATTTTAAAGTTGAATATATGTGAAATGCATAGTAACTTAATTATTTGGTGAACTTATAATCTTCTATATCTCATGTTAGAGAAGACCATTAAGACCATCCTTCTACGCCTCTTTTACTCTGCATCTTGAAGTGTAAAGTGGCATCTATATAAGTGTTCTGATGTAGAGTCAAGTTTATATCTGGCTGGAAAAATAATACTTGTTTTCTTATTGAAGTCACTATGCGTGAATATATTTTTTTCCCATTAAATGATAGGCTAATACTTCCAGATCTCTTAATAATCCTGTTTTAAAGAAGTTCTTAGAACTATCAAAGCAGAGCTTGAGATAATTTTGAAAATGTTTCATTAATGAAACACCAATAAAATATTTATAAAATCATGTCCTGTGAATAGCCATGTTTGGTGCAACCAATTTGCATATAGATATCATTATAACTAAATGATATTCATAAGACTATTACTAGTTCACAGATATGCAAATCAAAAATCTGGAGAGTTACTTAAATACTGATTAAAAGTAAACGTTGTAAATTGCAATATTTACTAAGAATGTGTCATAAAAATCCAATTCTTTACACTACTAACACTCTCACCATTTATTTTAAATGACGTCCTTTCCTCTGCTTATACTTCTGAAGCTAAATAACTTGCTTACAAAATTTCACAAACGTCTACTGCTGCATACTCTTAATATCTTACATTCTCCTGACTTTTTAGATGTAGCAAATATGTTTATGTGCATTAACTTCTGAGTATATTGCATTTTGTGAAATGTAATACATATACCAATGGTCAAAATGAGCTGATTTTGGTTGTTGTAGCACAGAGAATTTTTAATATTAATAGCTATCTTTTTACATTGTAAGATATATAATTATAGTAAAATATTTATCATATCAAAACAATAATTTATATATTGATATACTATCTCCTTTTAACAATAAAGTACCTAAGTAAATGAGTTGATTCAAATATTTTGTGAACTAAATAACAGAATATAATAGATGGTATGAAATGATGGCTACACGAATGACTGAAATTTAGTGTGCCAAGTATTCTTAGCTCCAGATCAATGATATGCCAATAACTAGGAATATCTCATGAAAATACAATTCCTTACCTTACTTGTCCTCTCACCATTTATTCTAATTGATATATTTTTTACGTAGCTATACTTCTGCAGCTAGATAACTATTGCTTACAAAATTTCCCAAATGTAATAATCCTGGAAACTTAAGTCTGCGTAAAGTTGACAGTGTGTAAGACATTTTGAGAGAAAATTTAGGAACCTTAAACAGCTTTCAGATGTACTGAGTAGATTTTTCCTCAAATCGAATTCTCAATATTTTTTCAGAAAATTTTCCAATAAAAGCATAGTAGAAGTTATCTTGTCTTTGTATTTCAGCTCCCTATCTATGATGTGTAGGGAGAACGATAACATAAGCTCTACTGATGAAAAGTCCAGATAGACTAGAATCGTTAGTCTTGCTTTCTGCTCTGTCCTCCAGCACAACCTGATTCTCACAGGACACAAAAAACTTCCAAGATCATTAGTTAACAAAACACTCCAAAGTTCACTAAAAAAGACCAGGACCAATTCCCTTTAAGCTACATTTAACTGCTCAACTAAGAGTTACAAAAATGAATGAATAATGATCCAATTTTATCATTTGGTTTGAGCCTGTGGTTCAATATAAAGGCTATTTTTGATAAATTTTAGAAAACCAAATGGAGGGAAAGTTTTAACTTTCTAGCACTACTCTGTTAGAAAAGTACACATTTTACTCCACATATGCAGTGTTCATTTATATTAATTTCAACTCCTACGTGTCACTGAGAGGAAAGTGTCTTGAAAAATTTTAATCAAATGGAAATTTCTTATGGGTATATGAATGTCCTAAGGAATCCAAATGCAGAAACGGGAAGAAACCAAATCAGAGACCTCAACATTGCTAGGTATTTGTCTATCTTTCATCTATGCTTTATCCTCAAAAAATATATTAATCCTCCAAAAAGCTGTTTTATAAACCATTATATTCAGTTAGGATTATTATGTGGATATTTAATATGATATGTGAATGTTTAATTTTTCCACAATTTCTTCTTATACCTTATTTTTCATCTTGGCCTGCTTTTGTTTCATCGAAGGTATACCCTCTTTAAACTATTGCTGAACTGACATACACGTTTCTAAAAGCTTCTTCAGTTTCCAGAAGCAAATCCATTTCTGAGGAAAGAATTCCATGTAGATTTTTAGAATATTGACCATTCCTCTTTTTTAGAGCAAACAATTATTCAAAAGGTCCAAGATCTCTAGTGCTATTTTCTTCTCTGAAACTTTTTTTTAATAAAAAGTGATTCACCATGCCTGTTTCTAGATAAATAACATATTCTGTTTATTTTCATTACATTCTCAGAGTTCAAGCTTAAGGGAAGGCTATTTTCCCTGGATTATTTATCAAGTTGTTACTTCCCTTCTGTTCTCTGTGGTGCAAAAATGTACATTAAAATGGTGGGGACCACAAGATTGGTCTTAACATTGGGTCTTTGCTAAAAGGAACGAACTGGGCAGGATGAACAGTCCTGGGTTTTTATTGTTTCCTAGTCATCTCCTAAAATTATTAGGGCACTTATTAGAGACATCTTTAGGATGAAATTTTTGATGGCTTCTCATAGAGTTTTGGCACCTTTAAATAATATTTTTTTTCTCCGATTCACTTTTTTCTTCCACTGTGAGGGAATTGAATTAGTTTTTCTCACTAGGCATAGTATATTCAGGGAGGCCCTTCATCTCACTTTCCCCACGTTCCTCCTGGAAAACCCCAGCTTACTTCTATTGTCCCATCATTATCATCATTACTTTTTACTCTCAGAAATGTAATGATTTAGATGATAAATTTCCGGGCTGCTGCTAATGTGAAGTGAATGAGACAATTACCTTGGGCATAAATTTAAGGGCAACAAAGAAAATTCAACAGTTAAATAATATCATTGCCATATTTTATACAAATAAAAATGAATGTCCAAAACTGATAATTAAAAACATCAAAATTTTAACTAAAGACACGATCATTTGTTACCCTAATTACATTTCACAACATACATACAGGAATGCAAAAGGCTGCTTGGTGACTTGTTTCAGCACCAGAAATATGATCTCACTTATTTGAACTTGAAGTCAGATGCCAGTAGAGCGAATTTCTAGGGGCCGTTGCATTCTGCCCGGTGTCTAGGCAGAAGCGCCTCTTCTTATTCCTGCTGTATGAACAATGTAGGGTAGGCAGAAGTCTACCTCTGTTATCTGTTTGCATACAGTGAAAAGGGAGACTAAATGTTGGTAGACTTTCCCTCATTATTAGTGTGTTTTCAGACTTACCCTTTTTAAACAGGATGAATGGTCCAAAATCTGTTACTTAATAATATAATAAACTCATTTTTATGCAATGTTTTAAAATTATCGGTTTATTGACATTGCATTTTTATAAATGGAAATTAGAATTTTGAATATGATTGGTTCTTATTAATTGACATAACTGTTGAAAAGTTTTTTTACTTCCGTGTATTCAAGAGTTACAAGACAGAATAATAGTTAAGAACGTGGCCTTTGGAATTACACACAATTAAGTTAATATCCCAGGTCTCCCAGATTCCAGCTATGTGTCTTCAGGCAATTCAATCTCCATGAGTTTCAATTTCATCATGTGAAAGGATTATTATAAAGAGTAAGTAATGGAGGCTAAGAATGTATCACAATGCTAGGTACATAGTAAGCATTTCAGCAATGGTAGTTGTTACTATTATTAATGTGTATTTTAATGGGAATATAGACAAAAGGATTCCTGGAATGTTACCTCATAACAGTGACTTCCCAGAAGTCCTCAACGAATGTAACTTTCTTATGTGGAAATATAGAAATCACTCAGATTTCACTAAAGAATAATGATAGAATTTTTATATATTCCCAGGTGATGAGCAAGCAGAATAAAACTTGCGATGCTCACCATAGTTCTAATTACCTTGATGTGACAAACCTTTATTTAACAAAAGGGAAATTTGACCTTATGCAATCTTAACTGCTATGGGAAGGCACTCGGAAACGTTGAGCTGCCAGTAAGGAGTGAGTGGTTAAAGAGTTGTTGCTTACACTATTACCATCTTATTACTGTTAAAAGCAAAATGGCATTTGCCCTAAAAATTGACAAACTAAGATTCTGCCAGATCAAGGCAAATAAGGAAAGTATCCACATGCTTTGGGATGAAGTGGAAAGATGACTTTTTTCTCAAAGTTGTAATAATTTAACAGTTAATTTAGTAATTAATGATTTTAATTAATCAGTGATTAGTAAGTGATTAATAATGGATTTAACTTAATCATAAAAGCAATTTAGTTTTTCCAGATCTACTTTGTCTGCTGTCCTCTTAGCATGGCATGGGAAGTATGATATGTTGCTTGGTTAATTTTGTTGGAAGTTATTCCTGTGTCGGTAAGATGATTCATTTGCGTAGAATGAGAACTTTCGTTTGCTTACTCAAATGTTCAATGTTTTTAAAAATAAATAATTGTATGACCTTTTTTCTCTGTGATAATCTTATTAAGTGCAAGAGCTGTTGGTTAATTTCACCCAATTTGTGACATAATTTAGATTTTTGTATACAATTTAATTTATAAAATATATATTATATTTTTAATTATCTGGATTTCAAAGAAATGAGAGTAACCTTACTCAGGATAGATGTAAAAAAACAGATTTGCCAATTATTAGTAGAAATAAAGTATAAAAATCAGATGTATACCATAACATTAACACTCGTTATTGTCTGAAGAGATTTGATAGAATTTTTTAACACCGATAATATATTTGTCATCTGTAGAAGTGTCAAACTAAAGTTCTTGTCATTATTTAAATATTTCTTTACCACATACTCAATACAGGACTCCAGCACTAATCACGTTGCATGAGACAAAGCCTTAATTTACGCAAGAATACAGATTTTGAAAAAAACATATACATATAAGAAAAAGTAAATTTCAACAATTATGAGAGCCAAAAGAATGCTTTGACCAGCTTATGTAAGAATTCATTTTTAACTTACTTACATGCTGTAACAAGCAAAGTCATGTTGATATGGATAGAGCTACCCTAGATGAGATGATAGGAGTTTGTAACTGACACTAGTTTTTATTTCTAAATCTGTAGCTCTAAAACTTCATGGAACTCTAAATGCATAAACTTCCAGAAATTGTAAAATTATCTTTCTAACAATAAAATTATTTTTTTCTTCTCCACACCTCACTTGGTGGCATCATAATTTGTTTAGTAAAAAAGGTTGGACTTCTACCTTCTTAGTGGAGAAAAGTGATAAAAATGATTCTTACTTTAGAGTGTTGAAGTGAGAAAAAAATTTTAAAGCATAATTAATGTACATAAAGGGATTTGCCTAGTACCATACACATATGCACCCCAATAAATATTACTTATTAATACTAATAATAAATAACTATTATTGTTGTTACTAGTTTACATGTCTCCTCATTTTAAACAGTTTTTAAGGGTAAGGTCCTTGACCTTCCTGAGATGCTTTTATCCTCAGTATATCAAATAGTGCCCAACATACAGCAGTACTACATAAATATTTCTTGATTTGTTTAATTAGTCACGATCATCAGACATCTCATTTCCTGCAAAAACTATTGTTACACTGGAATAGATTGATCCATGTAACACCTGCATCAGCTGAAGGACATGTGTAAAATGCAGAGACTGGGCCTCACCCCAGAATACTCTGTAGGAATCTCTTGAGTCATGGTCCATATTTTTAAATAAGCTCCACAAATGAATCTTATGCACACATACTTGATAACTAATGCTCAAAGGGTTTTCTTGTAACCCCTCTACAAACCTCAAATATTTACCTAGTTACCTAGGAGACAAAATAAATTTATCTGAACAATCACAATCAACTTTAAGAAATGTAGTTCAACTTTACAGTATAAACCACGCCTTTTTGAATCCAGCCAACACTTGATTCTGATGATTTTATTTACCTTGTCTTACACATCCCTGACTTTACATTTTGGTTCATACCCGTCTCTCTTGTACGCTAAATAATGTCCACCTCTCCTGCCCTCCTATCCTTCCCCTCCCCTCTTCTTCCTCCTGTCATCCTCTTTTACCTCCCTTTCTTATCCCTCTCTCTTCCTATTTTTCTTCTCTCTAGATTAATCATTCTTAATTTTTTATTAGAATCACTTAGGAATCTTAAAAAATTATCAATGCTTGACACCACCTCAGATAAATGGAGTCCAGAATCACTAGTAGCTTAAACTCCAGGTGTAGTATATATTCCACTTTATCTCAGCCACTTCCCTGGCCACCTTAGCTGGAAATCTTTCTCCTTTGAAGAACTTGGAAGACACTATTATCCCTTTTACAACTCATAGATGGTCTTTTCTCATTCCCTAGCTCTTGTCTATCAGCCTTAAATTCTCTCTCTAAAACAAACAAACAAACAAATAACCACATTCCTACACTGCTAATACCATTATTTGCAAAGCGTAAATTCTTGATAAATATATACTTTTGGAACAAATATAGGAGTGGTCACATTTATTGGGATTGGGAAAAGATGCTGATATAGGACTTTCTAGGTAAACATTAGTTTAATATCCAGATCTTAAAAGTAACCTTTCTTTCATTTTTCTCTGTAAAGGAAAGTTATTTAGCATTTTAAGCAAAGAAAGGAAAGTATCAAGATATGTGATTTATATAAAAATGTGTACCAGAGAGTGCCATTCTGAGGTTTGTTTCCTTTCTTCTCTATCTTTTACAGGAGTAATTAATTAGACATTTCAGAACCACTTTCAGCACAGGACATAAGAAAAATAGTTTATATTTAGCATTAAAATTCTCAGGGACCCAAGTTTTGGCCACCCTCATAAAACTATAAAAATGAAAAGTTAAGTAAAAATACAGTTCTGCAGACGTTTAAGCAATTCAGTGTTTTTGATGATCCTAAACATCTGGAGCTTTGGTTTCATGTAGGAAAAGCATGTAGGTCTCCGCATTTTTCTCTGTTTATAAAAATCACGGTGCTTTATACAGCACTAGAATCTACTGAAGATTGTTTTTATTATAGATTCTGTATTAGGTGCCATGCTTGATTTTTGTGAATTGTATGATATTCCATATGCTAAAAGGATTATATTGATCTATTTTAAAATTTGTATTACATTATTCTATGGCTAATTACAAATTATACTCATAAAGGGACTGGGTTAGAAAAATATATCATTTACATAAGTCCAATGTCTCAGATGAAGCAAATTGATAAATTTCATCATTTTAGAAAATTTATTTAACTTTGGGTGCCTGTGGAATTTTACCAAGTGCTTGGTTTACACGATTGTTAATATCATGGACTGTGCCAACAAGAGACATTGCTTTGAGCCTCAGCAATACCAGCACTGGCCCCATCAACTGAATCCATCTGTAGCCTTTCAATATGAACAGAGTGCATGTCTAATAGGTGTGTGCTGAGTAAAATGTTAAAGATCCTTTTGGTTGAACTCAAGTTTTCTTTTTTGCAGTTAAAGGTATTCTACTGATATAGTTTTATATTTGTATTCTTAACGTTTTGTCAAGTAAAATCATCTCAAATGAACAAAATAAGTTCTAAACACAAGTGAATTTTTCTAAAGTCAGGCCTTGTTGACAGTGGCCATTTGTAAATTATATTTCTTTAAGTTGAATTTTGTTTCTGTTATGTTATAGAAGTAAGAGAAACAGAGCTAGTGGAGCAGAGTAGAATGTATGATCACCCTATGCCAAGCCTACTGTCTACACCTTATTTATTCATTCTGCAATTCCGTTGCTTATAGAATACCAAGAGTAGTTCTGAGTGAAATTTAATTCTTAAATCCACTTGTATGTTAGGTTCCAATTCAATTATAGACAAGAGTCCTTAGAAAATAAAGTGTTCTGAGGGTGGGACAAGTGATCAAGAAAACTAAAGTTGGGTGTATTCTATTCCTCGTTTGACGCACTTACCCCTTGTTTTGAAAAAAAAAATTTCCTTGTTATAATTTTCCCATTCTAGATTTCTCAAGTTTAAAAAATGAAAATGTATGATAAAACTAGAACTACTTTGTGGTTTCCTAATCTAGAGGTCCTTCTGCTGGAGCATCTCCAGGTACTTAGCTCCAGAAGGATTTGCGTTTCTCCTGAACTTCACAACCAAGACTAAGAAAGTCTGGGTAAAGGGCCCATTTTACCACACTGTGAGAAAGACTCTGCTAGCTTATTACACATAGATAAAGTGAGTGTATAGGTTTAACCCTTTTAGTCTCGTTAATGCTCAGGAGAAAGGAAAGGGTATTCCTACTCAACTGCAGGAAGAAAGGCATCCATGGCTTTGGCCACAATTCTGGTTCTTAATGACTGAATTGAAGGTATTTGGGCACACAGAAGATAGGAAGCTGAACTCCTCTATGCTGAAATGCAGAAAGAAAAAGCAAGAAATGTTCTTTACTTTCAAATGACACTGCATCTTCTCCAACCTCTTTAGTGTCAGATTATTGAAGAGTGCATTGAATGTTCAAGTGAATTAAATATAAAACATGCGTGTAACACAATACCTAACAGAAAGATATCTGCCCCAGGAAACCAGAAATTCAGTGAACTCTTTTAAGGTAAGAAACTTGCATTATAGTCTCTTATTTCTCATAACAGCTCTGTGAGGGAGAAATGGCTTCTTTTTTCAGCCTATGAAAAACGAGGGCCCTGTAAGTTAAATAATTTGTACATAATTATAAAGCTAGTGTGAGCCAACCCAGGATTGTAATAAAGAAATGCTCAATTTTAAATCTAGATTTTTTTCTATTAGGTTTCACTGTCTCTAGTCTTTTTCTTTTTTTTAAAGTAATTATTTATTTTAAACTACAACAAATTATATTGACTAGCTCTATTATTTATATCTGTGATATTTTGTAAAAATGAATAACAGTACTAAAATGAGATTAACTTCTAATCATATATAGATATAAGCTGAAGAAAAGGTTTTTAATGGCTATTATAACCAAACCAATGTTTAAAACCGGATGTAAACAATTTGGACTACTCTCTTTGGGAGCACCCAAAGTTAGTACCATTGCATGGTCTAAAGATAAAGCAGCTTAGTTCTTTTTAAAAATAGTTACTTTCTACTCAGCCATTAAGTCTGAGGGTACGGGAAAAAATAGTAATAATCTAAGCTGTTGTCTTAAAAATAATTGTATCATGTTTTTTTTTTTTGAAATGTGATTCTGTATAATTAGAGTAATTTATCACCCAGATTGGAAAACTTTTGAGAACAAAAAATCATGCAGTCAGGATACTGGGTAATATTTCTAAACCAGGTCTTTTGAAGTAAACTAGAATGTATGACCACCCTATACCAAGTCTACTGCCTTTTCTTTCTGTATTTATTCTGCAGTTATGTTGCTTATAGAATACCAAGAATAGTTCTGAGTGACATTTCATTCTTAAATTCACTTGTATGACAGTGACTTATCTTTTTCTCATTGTTGTCTTTATTTTTCCTACTAGAAAGCCATATCACAGCATCACGACAACCATTCAAAGATGAAAGCAAATGACACTTTCATTTCTTTTTCTCTCAGAGAGACTGAAAATCTAAAAGCATATTAGATTTTAATGTACCCAGTGCATTTGATCACAGGTGTTTCAATTTTGTCAACTAAGGGTATCCCAGCTTTTAGTTTTATATATATCCTCGCTCCACTGACTCAATCTATTTCTTTACTTCAGCTGGAATTATTTTTCTGTAAATATTACTTTTTCTCTTGTAATCATTTTGTGGCATTTAATCACCTATATCGTTCCAACTCCTTAATACCAGTGACTAGCTTCTCCAGTCTTATCATGCTAAGCTCTTTTCAGTTCCCTAAATGCCCATGCTGTCTATTACCTCTTATATTGTTGGTTACCTGATACACATTCTCTGGAGAAGTACACAACTGTCACTTCATTTATTAACCTTTTTCATAGAATATTTACTTTGAACCTACAAGGCCCAAATTGCTAGGGTAGATAACACAAGCAGTGAATAAAGCAGATCCAGCCCATGCCCTTGAGGAGTTTAATATATTCCATTTCAAGTTTACTTTCTTGCATTGCATTAAACATTCTTCTGTTTCTGTAGCATCCTGTATGTGGTGGGCAGAATAATAGGTGTCCACCTCCCAATCCCTGGAGCCTGCGAATATGTTATCTTACATGGCAAAATGTACTTTGCAGATATGATTAAGAATAGTATTGAGAGGTTGAGCTTATAGTGAATTATCCATCTGAGCCAATCTGAGAGACTTAAAAAATGGAATAAGCTTTTTCTGGTGCAGTCAGAGAGAGAAAGAAAAAGATGTGACTGTAGAAGAATGGCGAGAGGCATTGCAGCCAGAGAAGAGTTTGATGTCTTGTGGCTGGTTTTGAGATGTAGTGGGCCTTGTACAAGGACTGGAGAGACAGAGACCAGCCCGCAGCTGAGAGCTGAAAAGGAAATCATGGCTCAGTCCTATGACCACATGGCATAACCTTGATTTTGTCCAATGAGATTCAGTGAATTTCTGACCTACAGAACTGTAAGATAATAAATTTATGTTATTTTAAACCTCTATAAACGTGGTAATATGTGTAATAAATATATATAATAAATATGGCAGGTGATATATATAACAAAATGGCAGCAATAGAAAATAAATGTAATGTACATACCTCTATTTTAACTCAAAAAGATATATTAGAATTTGTTTAGTTGCCCAATTCCTGTGCTAGCTACTTGAGCACGAAGTCTGTAACTCATGTCTTTATCCCTAGCACCTGGCAAATTTCCTGGGATATAGCAAGTGTGCAATGAAATCATGATAAATTTAGAATTGCCTACTTTTTAAAACAGTTAGACAGTAATAAATTCTATCAACGAAAATGTTTATCCTAAAATTGTAAGTATTTAACAGAATTCAGTATCAGTAAAGTCAGAAAATTAAATTTGAAAAAAAAAAATAAAACTTAAGGAAGAAAAAAGTATGGGAAATACTGGAAAAAAAAGAGAAAAACTTATCAAATGAATCTGTTGAAATAGTTGAAATAAGATCAGAAATAAAGTGTGGTGAATGTGGAACATGGATAACATTATGGAACTAAGAAATTAAATAATTAGACTATAAACCACACGGAGAGTCTGGTTATTAAGTGAAACAACTGAAAGAATTGAGATGAAAATTAACTGAACTAATACATGCTGTTGACAAATAGTGTTGGAAAATCAGTCAGTGTGGGAAAATGGTGATAACTTGGTGTAGAAATTTGAAATGACAAATTCTAATAAAAATAGAAAATTGGATTTTGTTGAGTTATATACACAAAGAGTGGTGTTTAAGATAAAAGTGGATTTTTTTTATTTAAATGTTTAAATTCTGTATAAAGCCAAGCCAATCAAAATTGTCTTTAATAAGCAACTTGAGTAGTAGATATTCTAGGTTAGAAATCTGAATAGGCAGTTATTGAGAGTCAGGTAGATACAGAGCAACAGGTCAGCATTAACTAGGGTTGGCTTTTATGCAAGTAGAGGCATCAGGATATCTTATGGGGTTAAAGCTATGTTGGGAGTGCAGGAGCAGGACAATGTAGCATATTAAGATGTCAGATTGGGCCAGGCACGGTGGCTCATGCCTGTAACCCCAGCACTTTGGGAGGCCGAGGCGAGCGGATCACGAGGTCAGGAGATCAAGACCAGCCTGGCTAACGCGGTGAAACCACATCTCTATTAAAAGTATAAAAAATTAGCCAGGCGTGGTGGCGGGCGCCTCTAGTCCCAGCTACCTGGGAGGCTGAGGCAGCAGAATGGCCTGAACCCAGGAGGCGGAGCTTGCAGTGAGCCGAGATGGCGCCACTGCACTCCAGCCTGGGCAACAGAGCGAGACTCCGTCTCAAAAAAAAAAAAAAAAAAAAAAAAAAAAACTCAGATTGGAGGAAAGACTTTAAGCTAGATCTGTCCTAACTTAAGGTGTGAAGCCAGAGGACAGAAAGCAAAAGGTAGTTAGTTCCAGAACAAAGTGGAATTTGGCAGAGTCACAGTTCCTAGAGAGCTGAGGCAGGTACTGGCCTCAAGAAGGGGTCAACTGGGAGTTTCTAAGAGGATAATGATCAAAGTGGATTATTGATGGTTGGCTTTTGAGTTTTATCTTTGATCATAAATAAAAATTAAAAGAAGTGGCCACTAAGGGTGAGAAAAAGCTGTCTAATTCTAACACAAACTACATTTGAACAAATAAGAAATGGATCAAAAGAGAAATCATCAGCAGAAGTAGTGGAAACCATTCCCAAAATAATTGTAAGCTCCCTATGGAAGGGACAGACATTCAATTTTTGAGTTTTTAAATGGTGGCAGAATCAGTATCAGATATTTCATTAAAATGTGATTATGTAAGAGAAAAATAAAATAATGAATCCCTTTCCATATACTATATGATTTATGTGAATTGTCTAGCATGGACAAACTCTTGGACAGAGAGCTGATTAGCGGTTGCCTGGGGCTGTAGGAAGGGGTTGTGTGGAGAATGACTGCTAATAAGTATGTGGTTGGTTTTTGCATATATTTTTTGGTGATCTAAATGTTCTGTAATGAGACAGTGATGATGGCTGACAAACTGTGAATATGCCGAAAAACTGCTGAATTGTATACTTTATTTTTATTTTTAAAGGAAGGTATATTTAATATTCATTAAGTAGAAGTGGATCATGATAAAAGTCTCCATACTTGTCCTCATCAATTTTATTTCAAGAGTTTCAGGAACAAATTGTTTTTGGTTATATAGATAAGTTCTTTAGTGCTGATTTTTGAGATTTTGGTGCACCTGTCACCCAAGCAGTGTAGTCTTTTATCCCTTCCCCCGAGTCCTCAAAGTCCCTATTGAATCATTCTTATGCCTTTGCAACCTCATAGCTTAGCTTCCACCTATAAGTGAGAATATACAATATTTGGTTTTCCATTCCTGAGTTACCTCACTTAGAAGAATGGTCTCCAATGCCATACAAGTTGCTACAAATGTCATTCTTTTGTTCCTTTTTATGGCTGAGTAGTATTCCGTGGTGTATATATACCGCATTTTCTTTATCCACTCATTGATTGATGGGCATTTAGGCTGGTTCCATATTTTTGCAATTGGAAATTGTGCTGCTATAATGATGCGTGTACAGTGTCTTTTTTATATAATGGCCTTTTCCTTTGGGTAGATACCCAGTAGTGGGACTGCTTGATCAAATGATAGTTCTACTTTTAGTTCTTTAAGAAATCTTCATACGGTTTTCCACAGTGGATGTACCAGTTTACATTCTCACCAGCAGTGTAAAAGTGTTCTCCTTTCACCATATCCAAGACAACATCTACTATTTCTTGATTTTTAAATTATGGCCATTTTTCGCAGGAGTAAGGTGGTATCTCATTGTGGTTTAGTTTGCATTTCCCTGATAATTAGTGATGTGGAACAGTTTTTCATATGTTTGTTGGCCATTTGTAAATCTTCTTTTAACAATTTTACCTGTCCATGTCCTTTGCCCACTTTTTGATAGGATTATTTGTTTTTTCTTGTTGATTTGAGTTCCTTGTAGATTCTGGATTATAGTCCTTTGTCAGATGCACAGTTCGAAGATATTTTCTCCCACTCTGTGGGTTGTCTGTTTACTCTGCTGATTATTTCTTTTGTTGCACAGGAGCATTTTAGTTTAATTAGATCCCATTTATTTGTTTTTGTTTTTATTGCATTTACTTTTGGGTTCTTGGTCATAAACTCTTTGCCTAAGTCAGTGTGTAGAAGAGTTTTTCTGACATTACCTTCTAGAATTTTTATGGTTTCAAGTCTTTGATCTATCTTGAGTTGATTTTTGTGTAAGGTGAGAGATGAGGATCCAGTTTCATTCTTTTACATGTGGTTGGCAATCATCCCAGCACCATTTGTTGAATAGGGTGTCTTTCCCCATTTTATGTTTTTGTATGCTTTGTCAAAGATCAGTTGGCTTTAAGTATTTGGCTTTATTTCTGAGTTCCCTACTATATTCTATTGGTATACCTGCTTATTTTTCTACCAGTACTATGGTGTTTTGGTAACTATAGGCTTGTAGTATAGTTTGAAGTCAGGTAATATGATGTGTTCAGATTTGTTTTTTGCTTAGTATTACCTTGGCTATGCAGGCTCTTTTTTATTCCAGATGAATTTTAGGTTTGTTTTTTCTATTTCTGTGAAGATTGATGGTGGTATTTTGATGGGAATTGCATTGAATCTGTAGATTGCTTTTGGCAGTATGGTCATTTTTACAATATTAGTTCTACCCATCCATAAGCATAGAATGTATTTCTATTTGTTTGTGTCATTGATGATTTCTTTCACCAATGTTTTGTAGTTTCCCTTGTAGGGATCTTTCACCTGATTGGCTAAGTATATTCCTAAGTGTTTTTTTTTTTTCAACTGCTATAAAAGGGATTGAGTTCTTGATTTGATTCTCAGCTTTGTTGTTGTTGGCATATAGCAGTGCTACTGATTTGTGTACATTGATTTTGTATCCTGGAACTGTACCGATTCATTTATCCAGTCTAGGAGCTTTAGATGAGTCTTTAGGATTTTCTAGGTATACAATCACATCATTGGTGAACAGTGACAGTTTGACTTCCTCTTTTCCAATTTCAATCTCCTTTATTTCTTTCTCTTGTCTGATTGCTCTGACTAGGACTTCCAATACTATGCTGAATAGAAGTGGTAAAAGTGGATATTCTTGTCCTGCTCCCGTTCTCAGAGGGAATGCTTTCAACATTTCCCCTTTCAGTATGATGCTGGCTGTGTATTTGTCATAGATGGATTTTATTACTTTGAGGTATGTCCTTTCTATATCAATTTTGCTGAGAGTTTTAATCATAAAGGGATGTTGGATTTTATCAAATGCTTTTTCTGAATCTGTTGAAATGAGCATATGATTTTTGTTTTCAATTCTGTTTATGTAATGTGTCACCTTTATTGACTTGTGTATGTTAAACCATTCCTGCATCCCTGGTATGAAATCCACTTGATCATGGTGGATTTTCTTTCTGATATGCTGTTGGATTCAGTTAACTAGTATTTTGTTGAGGATTTTTGCATCTATGTTTATCAGGGATATTTGTCTGTACTTTTTATTGTTGTTGTTGTGTCCTTTCCTCTTTTGGAATTTGGATGATATGGGCTTTATAGAATGATTTAGGAAGGATTGCCTCTTTCTCAATCTTTTGGAATAGTTTTAGTAGTATTGGCATCAATTTTTCTTTAAATGTCTGAGAGAAATCAGCTCTGAATTGACCCAGTTATGGACTTCTTTTGCTGGCAATTTTTAAATTACTATTTCAATCTCGCTACTTGTTATTGGTCTGTTGAGAGTTTCTATTTCTTCCTAGTTTAAGCTAGGAGGGTTGTATATGTCCAGGTATTTATACTTCTCTTCTAGATTTTCTAGTTTTTCATGTTAAGGTGATCATTGTAGATTTGCATGATTCTTTGTATTTCTGTGTTACTGGTTTTAACATCTCCTGTTTTGTTTCTAATTGAGCATACCTGTATATTCTCTCTTCTTTTCTTGGTTAATCTCACTAGTGGTCTATCAATTTTGTTTATCCTTTCAAAGAACCAGGTTTTTGTTTCATTTATCTTGTGTATTGTGGTGTTGTTTCAATTTCATTTAGTTCTGTTCTGATCTTTGTTACTTTTTTTTCCTTCTGCTGTGTTTGGTTTTGGTTTGTTCTTATTTCTCTAGTTCCTTGAGCTGGACCTTGGATTGTCTATTTGTCCTATTTCAGACTTCTTGATGTAGGCAATTAACGCTATGAACTTTCCTCTTAGCACCATTTTTGCTGTATCCCAGAGGTTCTGATAGGTGTGTCACTATCATCATTCAGTACAAATTTTTTTTAAATTTCCATCTTGATTTCATTGCTGACCCAACAGTCATTCAGAAGCAGGTAGTTTCCATGTATTCGCATGGTTTTGAGGGTTCCTTTCAGAGTTGATTTCCAATTTTATTCCACTGTGGTCTAAGAGAGTACTTGATATAATTTCAGTTTTCCTAAATATATTGAGACTTGTTTTGTGACCTATCAAATAGACTATCTTGGAGAATGTTCTAGGTGCTAATGAAAAGACGGTATATTCTGTAGTTGTTTGGTGGAATGTTCTGTTGATATCTGTTAAGTCCATTTTTTTCTAGGGTACTGTTTAATTCCATTGTTTCTTTGTTGTCTTTCTGTATCGATAATCTATCTAGTGCTGCGGGTGGAGTATTAAAGTCCCCACCATTATTATGTTACCATCAATCTCATTTCCTACATCTATTAGTAATTGTTTCATAAATTTGGGAGCTCCAATGTTAAGGTACGTATATATTCAGAATTGTTATATTTTCCTGTTAGACAAGTCCTTTTATCATTATATAAATAATGATTCTTGCTTTAAAGTCTGTTTTGTCTGATATAAGAATAGCTATGCCTGCTTGCTTTTGGTTTCTATTTTTGTGGAATACCTTTTTCTACCTTTTACATTAAGTTTATGTGAGTCCTTATTTGTTAGGTGAGTCTCTAGAAGGCAGCAGATACTTGGTTGGTGGATTTTTATCTATTCTGCCAATCTGTTTCTTTTAATTGGAACAGTAGGCCATTTACATTCAACATTAGCGATGAGATTTGAGATACTGTTCTATTCATCATGTTAGTTATTGCCTAAATACCTCGGTTTTTCCATTGTGTTATGGTTTTATAGGCTCTGGGAGATGTATGTTTGAAGAAGGTTCTATTTTGGTGTATTTCAAGGTTTTGTTTCAAGACTTAGAACTCCTTTTAGCATTTCTTATAGTGAGGTTTGGTAGTGGCAAATTCTCTCTGCATTTGTTTGTCTGAGAAAGATTTTCTCTCTCCTTCATTTATGAAGCTGAGTTTTGCTGGATGCAAAATTCTTGGCTGACAATTATTTTGTTTGAGGAGGCTAAATATAGGATGCCAATCCCTTCTGGCTTGCAAGGTTTTTGCTGAGAAAGCTGCTGTTAATCTAATAGGTTTTCCTGTTTCGGTTACCTGATGCTTTTGTCTCACAGCTCTTAAGACTTTTTCCTTAATCTTGACTTTAGATAACCTGATGAGTCTCTGCCCCTAGGTGATAATCTTTTTGCAATGAATTTCCCAGGAGTCCCTTTTTTTTGTTGTTGTTTTTTCTTTTGAGACAGAGTCTCGCTAGACATCTAGACATCCAAATATAAGAAGCTCAAAGGACTTCTGGGAGGCAGAGGTGGGTGGATCACATGTGGTCAGGAGTTCAAGACCAGCCTGGCCAACATGGTGAAACCCCATCTCTACTAAAAATACAAAAATTAGCCAGGCTGTAATCCCAGCTACTGGGGAGGCTGAGGCAGAAGAATCACTTGAACCCAGGAGGCAGAGGTTGCAGTGAGCTGAGATCACACCATTGCACTCTAGCCTGGGCGAAAAACCCAGAAGTCTTTTGAGCTTCTTATATTTGGATGTCTAGATCTCTAGCAAGACACCCTAAGTGCGTCTTTCATTTCCAGAAGTTGTGACTGGTTTTCTTTATGATATCTATTTCTCTAGAAATTTTTTATCGATATTCTATATCTTTTTGAGTTTAAGTCAATTTTCACCTTTCTCTGGTATCTTCTTGAGTGGTTTAATAATCAACCTTCTGAATTCTTTATCTGTCAATTTATAGATTTTGTCTTGGTTTTGATCCATTGCTGGAAAGCTACTGTAATCTTTTGGGGGTGTTATAGAATCTGTTTGGTCATACTACCAGAACTACTTTTCTGGTTCATTCTCATTTGGGTAGAATATTTCTAAAAATTGTTCTTGAATTTATTTTATATTGGGCTTTTTTTAATTTAAATTTTTCCCTCTTAAGGATCAGTCTTTAATGTTTATTTTAGACTAATTTGATTCTTCATGCTTGTAGGGGTGAAGACTTGGTATGAGTTATTTAGCTATAGAGTCTTTGTTTCCTGGCTCTCCTTGATTGCGCTGTAGTAGTTTTATTTTTGGTGTGTGAGTGAGTTCACTGTCTCCTATGGTGTTGGAAAGGCAGGAATTTCTTGAAGGTTATCTCTTTCTCTCATGGTGTACACTTTATTTATTTATTCAATGCTTTCCTCGTGTTTTATTTACTGAGCTGATGATTCAGGCTTCAGACCAATAGGGGAGGTATTTCTGGGTAGGCAGTGGTTGCAGCTAAGGTAGGTGGGTAGTTGTAATACCCACCAGTTGTGGGTCAAGGTCCCAGCCTTGATGAGGGTAGCTGGGGGAACTCTCAATTAGTTTTGCTGAGGTTTTATCAGGGTGAAGATTGGGAGCTACCTCAGCTCCCCTGCCAGGTCAACAGGAATGCTATTCATCTAGCAGCCTCACTCCTGTCCTAGTATTTCAGCTCTTCAGATCAGACAGGCACCTCTTTTCATCTATAGGAATGTTGATGTTCCAAGTGGAGAGGAAATGTGACTCTGCCTCTCATGAAGGCCTAAATCTGGGGGGTGCTCCTCTTGTTGGGCTGCACTTATCCTGGATTGTTCCAGAAAGGCTGTCCATAGGTGCCTCCATGTTGCATTCCTGTGGGGGAAGCCCCAGCTCTATCTGCAATAAGTACCAGCAGGGACAAGGACCCCTTCTCCAAGGCCCTTCATGATCACAGGGGCTGCCTGCCTGTTGGTGTATAGGTGCAGACTTTCCCTATTACACCCAGCACTGCAATTGTTTCTCTACTCGAGAAACTACAAACCTGGGGAAAGGTCTGCAACTCAAAGCCTTCTGTCGAGATTCTTTTGTCCCCTGGGGTGATTCCTTGATGTGGTGTTCTCCCCCTTCTCCTAGGGATGGGGCTTCCTGAGAACCAGACTGCAGTGATTGTTATTGCTCTTCTGGGTCTAGCCACCTAGTGGAGCTACCGGGCTCTGAGCTGGTGATGGGGAATGTCTGCAAAGAGTACAGTGATATGACTAGTCTTCAGGTGTCCCTGCCATGAACACCAGCATCTGATCTGGTAGAGGAGGCATTGGAGTGATGTAGACTCTGGTTGTAGATAGGTTTAGTGTGCTGGCTTTCTCAAGTGCTGGTTATGCTAGCAGTAAAGTTGTCACATGGTCAGACTCAGTTGTATAAGGGGGCTGAAGGAGGCAGTGTCTGATTTTCATAGGGCTCAGGGTATTGATTTGACCAGGTATGTCATTCATATAGCCCATGAACAAACTGGCCCTCACACAGTAGCCTTTTAATCTGCAAATGCAGGGTGCCATGATATTCTACACATGTGGGAATATGTAGGGGCAGCCATGTTGCCAGGCACATGTGGGGGCGAGGAAGAAAATGGCAGGAATTGTCATATTGGGGTGAACCCAGTTTCTAATGGCCAGCATTTGCATATCAAAGCTTGCCAGCCCAGTTCTAAGAGCCTGGGCTTTCCTGCTAGACAAGAAATGTTTCTGGAGCTGCTTTAAAAGAAACAAAAACTTCCCGAGGACCCCCTTTCCTCTATATCTGCCTAAAATAATTTCTCAGTAACTCCTAAAACAGTGTCATAATTTACAATAAAAAAAATTTAAGGTATTAAGATGTAGTCTAATCACGCAGGCAAAAACACAGCAATTACAATTTATTCAATAAAATAGTAATAATAATGGTTTTTTAAAATTTTTCATTCATTTGGAAATCCATGAGAAAGAGACTATCAAAAAGCAGCAAATATTAGCAAGCTTAGGAGAGTCTCAAAGGATGTAAGAATGCATAAGAAATGATACAGTAGTCCTCTCTTATTCAAGATTTCTCTTTTCATGGTTTCAGTTACCCGCAGTCAACCACAGTTCAGTTATTAAATAGAAAAATCCAGAAATAAACAATTAATAGATTTTAAGTTGCATACAATTCTGAGGAGTATGATGAAATCTCATGATGTCACACTTTGCCTGAGACATGAATCACCCCTTTGTCCAGTGTATCCATGATGTCTATGCTACCAATTGTTTCTGAATAATCATGGACTTGAAATGGTTGACACGATTTGCTACCAGCCCATTAGACATCACATTGTCTGCTCATGACATCCAACCATTGGCATCAGCGCTCGATGACCTAGGATTTTCCAAAGCATATGATATTCATTCTCACCATAGTTAGAATCATCAATAGCCTAAAGCTACATTACCATGCCAATATCATTTATTTCACTTCATGTCATCAGTAGGCAATTATCTCACACCATCACAAGAAGGGTGTGTACAGTAAGATATTTTGAGAGAAGCCACATTCACTTAACTTATTATAATGTATTGTTATAACTGTTCTATTTTATCAATAGTTGTTGCTCATCTCATACTGAGCATACTTTATAAAGTATATCATAGGGATGTATGTATAGGAAAAACCGTAATATATATATAGAGAGAGTTTAGTACTTTCTGCAAGTTTCAGGCTTCCACTGGGGGGGGGGTCTTAGAATATATCTCCTGCACTTAAGGGGGAATAACTCTATTTAAGTCTCATTCTTGATTTTACCTACTTAAATTTCTAAATTCCCCACTTGTTTCTGAATCCTAGTACCCAGCTCAAGGCTTCCTGAGTTATAGATGGCATTGCGCTATTATTACCCTGCACCCGTCCAATTATGCTGTTTCTGAATAATTACAAACTTGAAATGGTTGACTCCATCTGCTGCCAGATCTACCTAGAAATATACAGGCAGTCTTAAAAAATATTTATGGCAAAGAAAGATCTGTAAACAATTTGATAGTTATATTTTCTATGTATACACATTAACTTTAATGGGCTCATTAAAAAAGGGCTAATAGTTTACTCTCAGTTTTACAGTTTTGTGCCTATGTTTTATTATGAAATTTTATAGTTCAATTTAATAAATAAAATGTAAACATTATAAATGTTGTGGATGACTATCTGCTTAATTATAATTACCCACAAACTTGATGGAGATTCTGTATGCCAAATACCAATATTAACACGTGTATGTGTCTGTATTTGCATGTGTGTAAAATTCATGCCTTTTCAACTCCAAAGTAGATAAAGTAATTGCTGACCAAACGAAAAGAACAATGATGCTTGGAAAGAAGTGTTTCCTATCATACTCTGTAAGCCTTCAGGGGAAAACAAAAAAACAAACCACAAAACCTTCCATTGACATATTTTTTTTTTTTCCTTTTGGAGTTGTGGCTATGTTTGTCTAGAGAAGCATTTTATTTTCTGCTGGAGACAGGATGACAGTAAAATCTAAGCTTTAAAATAATATACATTTTTTCTTCAACTTTTATTTTAGAATTAGGTGGTACAAAGACACATTTGTTACATGAGTGTATTGCAAGCTGCTGAGGTTTGAGGTATGGATCCCATTACCTAGGTAGTGAACATGGTACCAAGAGGCAGTTTTTCAACCTATGCTCCTCTCCTTTCTCCCCCATCTAGTAGTTTCCATTGCCTATTTTTCCCATCTTTATGTCCATGTGTACTCGATGTTTAGCTCCCACTTTTAAGTGAGAACAGGTGGTTTTTGGTTTTCCATTCCTGTGTTAGTTGGCTTAGGATTATGGCCTCCAGCTCCATCCATGTTGCTGCAAAAGACATGATTTCATTGTTTTTATAGCTGTTTACTATTCTATGGTATATATGTACCACATTTTTTTATCCAGTCCACCACTGATGAGTACCAATGTTGGTTCCATGTTTTTGCTATTGTGAATACCATAACGATGAACATTCAAGTGCATGTGTTTTTTTGGTAGAATAATTTATTTTTATTAGGATATATACCCAGTAGTGGAATTTCTGGGTTGAATGGTAGCTCTGTTTTAAGTTATTTGAGAACTCTCCAAACTGCTTTCACAGTGGCTGAACTAATTTTCCTTCCCATGAAGAGTGTGTAAGCATTCCCTTTTCTCTGCACCCTCATCAGTATCTGTTATTTTTTTGCTTTTTAATACATAGCCATTTTGACTGATGTGAGACGGTATCTCATTGAAGTTTTGATTTGCATTTCTCTGATGATTAGTGATGATGAGCATTTTTTAATATGTTTGGCCACTTGTATGTCTTCTTTTGAGAAGTGTCTGCTTATGTTTTTTGCCTATTAATGGAGTTATTTGATTTTTGCTTATTGATTTAAGCTCCTTATAGATTTTCAATATTAGGCCTTTGTCAGGTGCATACTTTGCAAATATTTTCTCCCCCATTCTGTAGGTTGTTTGTATACTCTGTTAGTAGTTTCTTTTGCTGTGCAGAAGCTCTTTAGCTTAATTAGGTCCCACTTGTCCATTTTTTTTGTTGTTTTTACAATTGCTTTTAGGGACTTAGCCATAAACTATTTGCCAAGGCTGATATTAAGAACGGTATTTCCTTGGTTTTTTTCTAGGATTTTTATAGTTTGAGGTCTTACATTTAAGTCTTACATTTAATCCAACTTGAGTTAGTTTTTGCATATTGTGAAATGCAGGAGTCCAGTTTTATTCTTCTGCATATGGCTAGCCAGTTATCCCAGTACCATTTACCATTTTCTTTCCTAATTGCTTATTTTTATTGGTGGTGTTGAAGATCTGTAGCTGGGGGCATGTGACTTTACTTCTGATTTCTCTATTGTTTTCCATTGGTCCTTGTGTATCATTTTGTACCAGTACCATGTCTTGGTTACTGTAGTACTACAGTATAGTATAGTTTGAAGTTGGGCAGTGTGACGCCTACAGATTTGTTCTTTTTGCTTAGGATTGCTTTGGCTATTCAGGCACTTCTATGGTTTCATATGAAATTTTCTAATTATGGAAAAATGGCATTGGTAGTTTGATAGAAATAGCACTGAATATGTAAATTGCTTTCAGGCAGTATGGACATTTTAACAATATTGATCCCTCCAATTCATGAGCATGAAATTTTTTTATTTATTTGTGTAGTTTATGATTTCTTTCAGCAGTGTTTTATAGTTCTTGTAGAAATCTTTCACATCCTTGGTTAGCTGTATTCTTATATATTTCAAAAAATAATACACATACTTAAAGTTAGAATCTAATAAAGGACAATTTTTATGTTGGAGGGAATTTTTTTCTCATAAACACACAAACATAGTCACATTTAATAAGATTTTGAAATGACCATTAGGACATTACCATTGTAATGTTTTATTGCTTCTATTTGCTAATTTAAAATGTATTGTGTGACAAATTCAAAACTGAGATTATATATAGTCAGAAGATCCCACCCATGGCAAGTGGCAGAGTCAATTAAGAATAAAGAAATATATGACTGATTCTTATCAGTATGACACAATTTACAACAGTACTGCAAATTAATATGCCTCAGCAAAAGCACAACAAAAGTGAAATGCATTAAGAGGTACTTGGGCAAGTATTTCCATATAACAGAAATCTTGAGAAGTCAAAATCGCTACTGAAACTATAAATTTTATTCAACTATCAGCTGGATTTGTCCTTTCCAGTTAAAGATTTGTTTTTTCCCCATATTTGAAGCCATGTTCAACCCACATCTCCAGGAGAAAAATATATTCCAACTTTAATTTTTTATCTTCAAATATGCTAATCTTCTCTCCTCAATTTTTTGTACTTGCTCTTCTCTGACTTAAATGCTCTCAGAAGACCTTCATGTGGTTGCTCTTTTTCACCTTTTATATCTCATCTCCACTATCTCTTTCTCAGTGGGTCATCTCTTATTACCCTATTTAGAAAAATCATTCCTTTTTGGTCTGACTAATATTCTGAATCACAGCATCTACCCATTATTAGCTCACGCACTTGATCTGTTTTCGTCTCAGCTCTTAACCTTATTCATTGTCTGCCACCTCCAAGAGAATGCAAGCATAACAAGAGTAAGAATCTTATCTGTCATGTTCAGTCAATACTGTCTGGTAGGATAAACAAAATTTACCCTCAACAGTTACTGTTCGATTAACTGAGTGAACCATTCTCTAGGCCCTAGAAGTTTAATGAGGTTAATGTTTACCTTCCCCTTGCAGATGCTTATTCTTACTATATAAAAGTACACCTACAAATATATTTCAGTAACCTCTTTTACTCTCTGGGATCAAGTGCAACACTCTTGTCTCTGTGATAATGATGATCACTTACACAGGTTTATATGGCCATGCAGGTTATTTTGGCAAAAGTCAAAGAGGCCACGAGAAAGATTATTTTAGAGACCATATAGAAACATATGAGTTATCTGACAACCTCAAACACTGCTCCATGTTATAAACTATAGAGAAATAGTTCTAAGGATAAGATGAAGGATAACCCAAACTCAGACTCAGCCATTCTCAAAATATTCTCTTTACTAGCAGTGGAGAGGTATTTTATTTAATGGTTAGTAGAACTCAAAGGCACTCAAAAGGAATGTTCTCATTTTAATACATTATTTTATTTCACATACCACTAAACCTTTCACATTTTTTGTATAAACAATGTTTCGTGTGATCTTTAAACAACACTTTGAAGTGGATAAAACTGCTCTTTTGCTCTTTCTTGCAATGTAGAGATATATACCCAAGTCAGGGAGAAAAGCTACTGATGTGATGAGAAAATCTCAGTGAATTCAAGAGGTAGATAATAAAGTCAGGTCTTTTGGTAAACAAGAGCATTGGAAGCTGGAAATTTAGGGACCCAAGATAATTTTTTATTATTAGCTGCATCCTTTCATTTCTCTTCTTTTTTCCTTCTGTTCTTTCTCATGATTTATCTTCAAATCTCTTATGTATTTTTCTACCTCTCTCTAAGCAATGTTGTTTCATATTCAATTTCTCCAACAATGTTGATTTTGGTTAATTCAAAATTAGCCAAAGTGTCTATGCTTATGCAAGTGCTTGTTTTTACATTAAATATTTGCAAATTTTTAAATAATTAAGATATCTCATTAAATTATCAGAGAATTTATTTTGTGTTGTATTTTCATATGGCTGTGATACGACACATACTTAAAAACTCTTCTTACAAGTTCTATGAATCTTTTGTACAGATAAAGTCCTTTTGGTTTTGTCTCTTTGCAATTGTGTTTATATATTAATTTTATTTAGTGTACTCCTTTTTACATGGGCCTACTGAACTTGAAGAGCAAGAAAGTCTATTTAAATGCACTGGAGTGAATGAGAATGAAACAGTAATGAGTCCTTACTGCTTTCCAATAAGGTAGAACATTTAAATTAATTATAACATCTCCTGTCAAAGACCTACTCAATTAAGATTCACATCAAACAAACACCTGATTGTTATATATTTACCTTTGTTCTTAAATGACTCTTCCATAGTCCAGCTAATCTCTATCTCAGACTCTGCTGCCTGGGAATTTCAAATTATGAAAAACCTAGTTATTCTAACTAGCAAAAGACCATTTTTATTTTCACCAAAGACTAGAAGAGTAAGAAACTAACAAAAATATAGGCTGTAAGGGGCCAGAGATTACACATGACTTACCAAAACTATCCAGCTAATGGCAAAGCCAATGCTATAAACTAATTTCCTTTGTTCAGGACTAGAGTTTATAAAAAGATGCTCTCTCTGAAGCAGTATTGCAAAAGGAAATATTACAATTCAAATCTCTTGTCTTTCAGCTAAAAGGAATAGATGTGAGAACTGTCTATATTTTTAACTTTTTCATACATGAACCCAAGTGGAACTCTGTATGACACAAGAGAGAGGAATGGAACTTATCCTGCTCATTGCTGCCGCATGAGGGTAGCATTAAAGAAAGAGACAAAAGAAGAAATGGAATAGAGTTTCAAGTGAGGTAGAGGCTTGCCAGGGGAATCAGTCAGAGGGAGGAAGCAATACATTCCTCTAGTGTCTGAAAAAGCAAATAAAAAATGAAGGCACACGTGGAAGCCTCCTAGCATCTTGGTGTCTGGGAAGATGAGAAAAAAAGACCTTCAGTACCAAGTAAGAACTTTATTTTCTCTCACTACTTCAAAAGTTGATCAAAGTTTTTCAATCTTTTCACCGAGGATGTATGGCTACTGCAAAAGTATTATAGATTCTTCTGGTAACACACCAGAAACACTTAAGCATTGTTTGCATTTATGATTTGCTCATCTTCTAGATGCTTTTAAGGATTTTAATAGCAGGACACAAATAAATGAATGAAATGCAGATTCTTAGAATCCATCAAAACAGTTTGTAAAGATGCCTTAAAGCAACCTCCACTGTGGCAATGATTAACATTTTGAAAACCTTTTTTAATTCAGAGAGAAACAACACCTAACAATGTATGTGTGTCTAAATTCTTGTCAAAAATAATAATGCCCACAATTCATTGACTAACCTTAATGAAAACCTTTATTCTTAAGATCCAAATATCTCCTGATCCAGCCTGTATTCGTTTTTTATTGCTGCATTACCACAAACTCAGTGACTTAAAACGACACAAATTAATTATCTCATAGTTTCAGTAGATTAGAAACCTGGCATGGCAGGACTAGGTTCTCCAAACAGGGTGTCACAAAGCTGAAACCAATACGGAATTCTTTCCTGGAGGCTGTGGAAAGAACTCTGTTTCCAATCTCATTCATACTTTAGGCACAATCTAGTTCCTTGTGATCAGGATTTTCTTGCTGGTTATGGGTTGGCCATTTCTCTCAGTTCTTACAGTCCATTTGCAGGTCCTTTCCATGTGAACCGTTTCATCTTCAAGTCAGCAAAACACATTTAGTCCTTCTCACTTTTTGAATTTTGAATAGTCTCCGACATTTTCGGCTACCAGCTAGAGTAAATTATTTTAAGGAGCTCTTGGGGATTAGGTTTTCCTCACCTAGAGGTCCTCCCTTTCTTAAAGTCAATTACGCCATACAAAATAAACTAACATGGAAGCAAAATTCATTAACTTTATAGTCTTGGAGATTATGCAGGGTGTGGACACTGGAGAAGAGGGGCACTACATTGTGTGGATCATTTTAAACTGTCTTACACACAGCCCATGAGGTCTTTGTGCTCATGCTTATACTGAAGACACATTTTTGGAGAAACCAATAATTCCTAACCAGATATCACAATGACATGGCAAATGCAAATGAAGGTATGCTCTTTTTTTTTTTTTTCTTTCTTTTTGAGATGGCGTCTTGCTCTGTAGCCCAGGCTGGAGTGCAATGGCGCAATCTTGGCTCACTGCAACCTCCATCTCCTAGGTTCAAGCAATTCTTCTGCCTTAGCCTCCTGAGCAGCTGAGATTACAGGTGCCCACCACCACGCTCAGCTAATTTTTGTGTTTTTAGTAGAGATGGAGTTTCACCATGTTGGCCAGGTTGGTTTCGAACTCCTGACCTCAGATGATCCACCCCCTCAGCCTCCCAAAGTGCTGGGATTACAGGCGTGAGCCACTGCGCCCAGCCACAAGTTCTTTTTAAATGCCTGAAATGAAATGTATACTTATGTATCAAAATATTTTACCCACTGATTTTAGCTTTTTACAATGAGAATGTATGTACCATATAATAAGCAATTTACACAGGATACCTGAGGCTCTCTTTTATTTTTATAGGGTTCATAATCCTGGGAGACATAGGCCAGAAAAATATTCCCGCTGCTGCTGCAGGGATGAAAGGAAAACAAATTTATCATTTCCCACATAACCCTGGGAGGGCTTTCTTCAGTTGGCTTAGGGAATAGCAAATCATGCCAACTAGGGCTTTCTGTCATTTTCTGACACAATCCCATCCCTAGCTGACTACTATATTCAATACCTCCTGGAGACCTTGCCTTAGCATAAATCCATATATTATCTTTTATTTAAAAGTCAAACTATTCATCTATGGTAGATATTAAGTCTATAAGTTATTCTACATATATACATGACTATATTGGCCTCTTTCCATGAATTATATAGTAATAATTAAATATGCCATAGTTATATTTCCTATACAACAAAAGCATTGATGTTGATCAAATTAACAATCCATGCAATTCGTTTGCTACATTTTTAGACATTGTTCATTCAATTATTCATTCTAATATTTTGTGAGATAAGAGCATCAGTCTTACTAGTCTACCATATCTCAACTTGGTATAACTGACTGAAAAATTGTGTTCATTTGTAGATTAGTACCACCCTGGGACAAAGGCAATAGAAGTAGAAAATGTCAACTGATGCATCCATTCAACAACTCTGTATTGAATGTCATTTGCATGCCTGCTAGACTCAGAGGTGGTGATGGTGAACAAGGGTCCCTTTCTCGATTCATTTTTTAACTTTTTAAAGAAATGGACAAGCAAGCCATCAATTACAATTAAAAAATGTGACTAAGGGGCAGCTAAAAGCTGCACTGGGAGCGTATATAACGGACACCTAATGTTATCTTAGGGGCATTGGGAGAGTATTGAGCTAAGAGTGAAGATATAACATTTTGTCAAGAGCCCTGAGGTGTTAACAATTCTTTAGTTGATTTAGTTAAAGACATCAAAGGCATGCCTATGAAACTTGTGGATAATTCAAAACTGAGAATAATTACTTCTGTTAAAAAATAATTGTACAGAAAATGACTGTATAATTGGCTGAAATAAATTCCAAATTACCAAAAAAAGACAGCATAGGAAAAAAGAAATAATTATATTTTTAAAAAATATATATTTATATATATGACTTATTAATATATATGACTTGTGAAGATTCAATTGATGAGTAAGACAAAGAAAAAGAGAAAACTGGATTGATAAAAACAAATAAATAATACCTACAATCTATTCAATATATACCTCATATGTACCTCAACACTTTACAGGTAAGATAAATTGTTTTCTCCAAGTTTACACAGTTCATCAGCGGAAGAAGGGGAATCTGAATCCAAATCTTATCAGTGAGGAGTGAATGAGTAGTACAGATCAGGAGGTAATTCATTGTGTTGAAATATAGAAAATTATAGTTTTAGTTATAAAAATAGATAATGTATTTGATAAAATATATTTTTAGAGAAAAACACATGGTGTTTATGGGCTATTTTGTGTGATATGTATAGTTAATACGAAATAATATTAGGGCATATACTAGAAAGTGTATGTTTCAGTACAGAAGGAATAGAGAAAAACAGACCTAATTTGAAAGACAGGACTGTGAACCACAGCCAGAAGAGTAAAGTGAGCTGAGATCATGGCTAAGAGCTCAATCATATGAAGCTGATGCTCCAGCTAAAACCAAATCCACTCAAAGATGCCCCAGAAGTGAGAATCTCTCTTCACAGTAATGATATCATAAGTAGAAAATCTACAAAAATTAAATCAGAAGTATTTCTCACTAGTAACTACTTAGGAAAATGCCTGGGAGCAGTTTAACGGTTGTTTGTGTAGTAACAAAAAATGAATCAATAGAGGAAAGATACAGTTTGCCTATCAAAAACACAACACGTGTGCTATTGAGAATTTCTTGAGTAATTGAAAGATGTTTTATCTTCTAAGGTCAGTGTCATTAAGTTTTAGTACATATCTCACTGAATGAAATTGCTGCATGGAAGAATCCCCGCCTTAGGAAATAGTAACACTCATTTTCATAATGCCTTTTTGTGAAATGCCTTATGTTGCTATCAATATGGCAGCTTAACAGTCTTGCTTGTTTCCTGCCTTTTACTGAGAAAAAAGATGAAGCTGACTGAGAGAGAACTGAACAGTAGTGAAGAGAACATTGGAGAGAACCACAACAGGCTAAATAAAGAACCCTTAGGTGGTATATTATGGGCCTCTAAACATGTAATTGCTGTCTTTGAATGCATAACAGTATGTTCTAAACAAACATGTGGGAGAAAGTTATAAAAATAATATTTCAGATAAATATTGGGTTTGATTTTTGAATACTTTAGTTTTTCAATAAGACTGATTTCTTTGACCTATTCAGTTCTCTCCCTCACTGAAGTAATTAATCAGAAATAGAACAGTCCTTTGTCGGACACTGTGCGGGGAAATTTCTCCCTTGGATACACAATTGTATCAATTGATGTGAAACAGCCTTCCAACTCCAGATAATGTTATTCTAAGTGTATTTTTCTCATAGCAAAAAAAATTACACAAGTTTATGAATAAATAATTTTATATGGACTAATGTGAGTGAAAAGTAAAATTATTAGATCTGTAAATAAGGCTTGTAATAAAATCTAACTTCTTTATACATATATATTGCCAAGGGCCTTGGGTTCATTATTTGAAAGTTAAAAAAAATTTTTTTCCTCTAGTTAAATATATCTCATTAGATAATTATTAGGCAGAGAAATAAAAGGGTGTATAATATCATGATACCACAGAAGAACCTGGGAAAAATAAAAGACAGATGTACTAAATTAATCAAGTTGCCAATGCAATCAGACAACAGAAAAGATGTTTATCTATAACAATTGCATTTAACCCATTTTTAGAAAGGTTTTTTTCTAATTAAAGGAACAACAACAATGGCTTAACTCTCGTGGAAAGACCTTAGCATTCTATTAGTAAGCTATTTGATTTCCATTAAAGCTGTCTACTGGTGAAAATCATGCAAATAAATTTTGGAACATGATAAAAGATAAGTGAGTGGGCTGAAATTGCAGAATTCATTTGAGGCCATTCTTTGGTTTCAGAGTTTACAATGACTTGAAACAAATATATTATAAAATTATAAAATTTACTTGAATTGAAATTTAAATTATAATTTCTCTGTGGTCTAAAACAACTATTCGTATCATTTTAATTTTTCTTGAATAACAAACCTATTTAAACTATTCTCTATTTTAGTTTTTAACTAAAAATTAATATAGTTTAAAATTAAATATTTATCTACATGTACCTATCCACATCACATATACACATACAACAGACACTTATCTACATACATGCACAGAGTTTTATTTTTATTATTTTCTGGATATTCTGAAATTTTAATATATATTCCCTTTTTGTTTCTCAAGATTTTGTTTTCAGTAAATGTACCCTTAAGTTTTATGGTCTTTATTTTTCTGTAATTAAAAAAAAATTTTGGCTTAATTGCTTTTTGTTTATGAAATGGGTTGACATGTTCTTTCAGCCAAAGATGGGCAAGAAAATTTCAAATATAGAAATAAAATAAAGGCTAAAATGATCACATTGTAAAGATATTTCATCAACAATCTAAGAAATTGTATACTGGCAGTTTTTATTGTTCACCCATTAAATTTCAACCCATTAAATCAGCCTTACTAATTGCATTATGTCTGGACATATTTATATATCACCTATCTTCACTAGGCATCGTAGAGTACAACTTTATATAAAGTACCTTTCTATATACTATTTAATGCTTTCAAGTCCTGGATTCAGAATTGTCTTATACCAAAATCAGAGCCACACTTTCTTATTTCACATTTGTTTCTAAAAGTTTTCCACTATGTGTTCTACTTTTCATTTATTCATCTTCTTGTTACCTGATTATACTTTTAGGTACTTCCTTACTTTCTGGCACAATAAAAAGTTCCATGTTTATCTTGTATTTTCTTCTCCCTTGTCCCTGAATGAGTCATTTTGTGAAGAAGCCCTGGTTTCTTTTAACATCGAGTGACATTTATAAAACAAGATCTGGACCATCCCGGCTAAAACGGTGAAACCCCGTCTCTACTAAAAATACAAAAAATTAGCCGGGCGTAGTGGCGGGCGCCTGTAGTCCCAGCTACTTGGGAGGCTGAGGCAGGAGAATGGCGTGAACCCGGGAGGCGGAGCTTGCAGTGAGCCGAGATCGCGCCACTGCACTCCAGCCTGGGCGACAGAGCGAGACTCCGTCTCAAAAAAAAAAAAAAAAAAAAAAAAAAAAACAAGATCTGAGTGCTAGTTGTAGGTCTTTTCAGTGGACAGATTTAGTAAATACACATATTTGTCCATGAACACAGATATACCCTTATATCTGTCTCTTTGTCTATCAACCATCTATCCATCTTTCTCTATTCATCTATCTATCATACAACTAGGAGTTCACTTTGATACCTCTAAATTTGATTGAACGTTGCAGCATTTATTCTGCCTTGTTGATTTCTACATTTGTAAGGCCCTTCTTTGAAAGTGAGAAACCTGGCAACTAAGATCCCACTATTCTCAATACATTTATACTTACTGGCTCAGTACCAGTGTATGTACTTACACTTCTAGTTTGAATTGCCCAAAGTTCATATCGGACACACTGTCCCCCAATGATCTCCACCTGGTGGGTCTCAGACTTGTCACTTTCTATCTACCCACTTAGGCATTCTGGACTAAACCTGGGCCCTGGTCACATTGATTCACTCATACCATATATGTTCAGCCAGCTGAAAGGTCAATTCTGATCAATAAGAAGTGGAAGGCACATTAGGTTAATTTTTTAGGTAAAGAATTTTAAAGTTTTACAAAGGCTAAACTGTCAGTGTTTACCTTTGCCAATCATTTTATTACTATAGGCTTATATCCATGTTGACTCTACCTCACCACCTAAATATCCTTAAGATTCTCAAATTCAATATATTTCAGTAAGATTTCATCATTTTCCTCCAAATTGATTCACATTCTTATTAATATAATCAACTTTCCAGTTTTCTTAAGATAAAATATTTCACTTATTCCTCTTTCCTCTCTACAGTCAGATGATCGATTGCAAAACTCTGGTTTTAATTCCTAAATATCTGTATCTATCCAATACTTATAAGGATTGTTTCAGCTGCTCTAATAAGGAGATCTGTCTACTTAAAGAGTTATTTAAATAAAATTGATATTCATTTATCTATCACATGAAATGCAGTACAGACACTCCAAAGCAAGTATAGCACATTTATTATCATGAAGTGCTAAGTCTCTAAAGTATGACTGGTCTTGTTGCTAGTTACTCTATAATGTAATATGTTTAGGAGAGTTTGTGTATATGGGTGTGTGTATGTGTGTGTGTGTGTGTTTTAATTTATCCTGATTTTGGTTAACTAAGGATTCTGGGACAGTAAGTGAATAAATTTTTATCAGATTTTGAAAAATCTTGTTCATTATTTTTCCCATTCTCATATTTATATTATTCTAGTATTTCATATACAGTTAGGTTAAATCATTGGATATTGTCACCAGATACCTGCAGCTTCTTTATTTCCTCTCTTTTTCAGATGGGTTGATTTCTTTTCACCTGTCTTCATGTTGACTAAGTCTTCAGCCATTCCCAATCTCCATAATCAGTATGCTTATAAGTAGTGATTTAAAAAGTTATTCAACTTTTAACATATATAATTTCTATTAGGTTCTATTGGAGACTTTCTATATCTTTGCTCTAATTTTCTATTTTTCCACTCTCTAAGACCAAATTTTGTATAATTTCCTTTGATACTTCTAAATTTGATTGAATGTGGCAGCATAGAAGAGTAAATAATTTTTGACCCTATGTATAACAGCTACTTTAAAATATCTATTTTATCAATATCTGAGTCATTTGGTGGTTGAATTCTTTTGACAGTTTTTTTCTTTAGCAATATGTTGTTTTCACGTTTATTCTCATGTTAAGTACTCTTTGTTTATCTACTGAATATTATGATGACATAGTACAGAGATTCTGGATTCTATTATCTTTCTTCTGAAGAATGTTAATTTTATTGCATTATGGACTTCGATTACTGGCTGATCTCCTAGATCTTTTGTAGGATCAATTTTAAGCTTTCTTATTGTAGCTTTGTGGAAAGCACAAAGTATTTCCCAATCCCCTCTCAGCAGGACTCAATCGCCCACTTCTGTTTCCCTTACAGATCTTGTCTGTACTTGGTTTTAGACTTTGTGTTAGTCCAAAGCAGTTGTCTCAACCAGAGGTGAGTTGGCAATGTTTGGAGACATTTTTGGCTGCCACAAATAGGGAAAGCTCTATTGGCATCTAGTGGGTAGGAGCCTACAACAAAGAATTACCTAGGCCAAAATACCAATAGTGCTAAGACTGAGAAACTTGCCCTAGGGTATGCCTAGTACTTCTAAATCAATGTGTCTCTGGTGTTTGAGGTAGCTTCCCAGGATATTACCTAATGTCACTAACCCCTTGCTAGTATAGCCAGCAACATTCCTCAGCAGTGATTCACCTCTAGTATCTCTATTTTTGCTCTCAACACTGAAGCACCTATTCTCAGCATAGCCCAGGTGCTATTATTGTGCAAATGTTGAGTCCAGAATTAGGTCAAGGACTTATGAAAAGCCCATGCATAAATGTATTGTGATCCTATCCACATAGCTCTTCCTGTCTCCTCCTGCCCTGCAGAGTCCAGCACTTCAGTTGTACCAAATTCTGATCTCTGCCCCCAAACCTTAACAGATTGACAACCTGCTTGAATTTCAGCTTCTGGCATATAATCCAGATTTACCTGATGCTCTGAACTCAGGATTAACATTAAAAACATCGATCAGCATTTTTCATTACCACACAAAATGATGTTTATTTTTCCTTTTATTGCCAAGTTTTCAAATCAGTTTGGTATTTCTGGGTGCCATATATTTCATATTATTCAGAAGATAACAGATAATTTTCTGTTAACTCTCTGTTCTTCACTTTTATGAAGTTCTGAACTGAAAAAGAATCTGGCTTATTCAAGAACCATTTTTCGTACATGGGATGATTTATTCACCCCTCAGGATAATTTGAGCCCCATTAAGACAGGAATATGATCCAAATGAATTTTCTCTGTTAATAACTCAAATATGCTCTTTGGTTTATTTCCAGCTATAACTGAATTGTAAGAAGTTAGCTAATAGGTGTCACTTCTCATTCATAAAACTGTCATCTCTCTTTTTAAACATTCTTGCAGAAATTTGTGCGTTTGGATTAATGAGGATCTACTGAAAATTTCTACATTGTAATACTCATTATAAACAAATTAAAGGCCATTATTCCAAAAATGTGTGGGCATTTAATAAATTGCATTGATGGAGCTAAAAGTCAGAGTGCTTAGTTTCCAAGCTGCTTAGTTTCCAGCTGACAGCAGCTGTCAGACTTTGGGTACCCTTCTTAAGTATTAACCCCTTGCTAGTATGGCCACCAACATTACTTGGTGCCTTAGTTTCCTCTTCCATAAAATAGGGATAATAGTAGCATCTACATAAAAAGATAGTTGAAAATTAAATGAGTTAATTTAAGTCACTGTGTTCATTTCTCTTTCTTCACACGATACTATCAATGAAAATTAATGGCTATTATCTTTTTTTAATTGCTCTTATTTATTGATACTTTTTCAATTTTTTAAAGTTTTATTTATATTGACATTTAATAATTACACACATTTATGGGGTACAACGTAGACATTTTGGTACATGCACATACGGCATAATGATCAAATTAGGGTAATTAGCATATCCATCATGTCAAACGATGATTTTTTCTTTGTGGTAAGAACATTCAAAGTCCTTTTTTTTCTGGTTATTTTGAAATATACCTTATAGTTAACTACAGTCACCCTACTATGCAACAGAACACCAGCACTACTTCCTTGTAACTGTAACTTTGTATCTGATCCCCAATCACCTTTTACTGGAGACTTCTAAGTGTGGGATTTTATTATCAAATTCAGGAGGCCACATCCTCATGGCTTTTTTGAGAAACCTCCCAATAGTATGGATCTCAATTTCTACTTCTGTGTTTAATCCCAAATTAAATTTACCTTGATAAGTAGAAAGAGTACTTAGCAAATCAAACAGTTTATACAGTAACCACTGCTATGATCATAGATGGGTGACTAGATACCCCTCAGACTTTCCTCCTACTGTTTAATTTACACCTAAGACAAGACATAAGATGTGTACTTTGTCATGACTCCCTATTATACTTACAGTGAGAAGCCTACAGAAAGTGTAGAGATAGGAGTGCAAGTAGGAACTCAAACTCTACTTGCCTTTTTCAAAAGTTCTTAGATTTCAATTCTATTAGCGCTGCCCACTGAACCCTACACCATTCTCTAAGAAACCTTCCCTTGTTCTTATCATTAGAGTAAATTAATATTTCTCTTAGTCTGTTTAGGCTGCTATAACAAATTACCACAGAATAGAGTATTAGTTTGTTCACACACTGCAATAAAGAACTACCTGAGACTGGGTAATTTATAAAGAAAAGAGGTTTGGCTCACAGATCTACAGGCTGCACTGGAGGCACATGGCTGGAGAGGTTTCAGGAAACTTACAATTAAGTTGAAAGGGCAAAGGGGAAGCAAGCACCTCTTCACATGGTGGTAAAATAGATAGCATAGGGGAAAGTGCTACACACTTTTAAATAAGAAGATCTCGTGGGAACTAACTCGCTATCATAAGAACAGCAAGGGAGAAGTATGCCCACAGGGTTCAGTCACCTCCCACTAAGCTCCTCCTCAAACATGTGGGAATTACAATTCGACATGAGATATGAGTGGGGATAGAAAGTCAAACCATATCTTTCTGCCCTTGGCCCCTCCCAAATCTCATGTCCTTCTCACATTTCAAAACACAATTATGCCTTCCCAACAGTCCTCCAAAGTCCTAACTCATTTCAGCATTAACTCAAAAGTCCAAGTCCAAAGTCTCATCTGAGAAAACGCAAGTCCCTTCTACCTATGAGCCTGTAAAATAGAAAAACAGGTTAGTTACTTTGAAGATATAGTGGGGGTACAGGCATTGGCAAAATGCTCCCATTCCATAAGGGAGAAATCAACCAAACAAAAGGGCTACAGGCCCCATGAAAGTCCAAAACCCATCACGGAAGTCATTAAATCTTAAAGCTTCAAAATAATCTCCTCTGACTTCATGTCTCACATACAGGCCATGTTGACACAAGAGGCAGGCTTCCAAGGCCTTGGACAGCTCTGCTTTTGTGGCTCTCCAGGGTACAGACCCCATGGGTGCTTCCACAAGCTGGCACTGAGTGCCTGCAGCTTTTCCAGGCACATGGTGCAAGTTATTGGTGGATCTAACATTCTGGGTCTGGAGGTTGGTAGCCCTCTTCTTACAGCTCCACTAAGCAGTGCCCCAGTGGGGACTCTGTATGGGAGTTCCAATTCCTTATTTCCTCTCTGCACTTCCCCAGTAGAAGTTCTCCAGGAAGGCTCTGCCCCTGTAGCAGACTTCTGCCTGGACATCCAGGTGTTTCCATACATCCTCTGAAATCTAGGCACTCTGTTCATGCACAGACTTAACACTATGTGAAAGCTGCCAAGGCTTGGGGCTTGCACCCATTGAAGCAACAGCTCAAGCTGTACCTTGACGCTTTAGCCATGGCTGGTGTTAGGGTGGCTAAGACACAGGGTACCATATCCTGAGGCTGCACAGAGCAGTGGGGCCCTGGGCCTGACCCACAAAACCATTATTTTTTCCTAGGACTCTAGGCCTGTGATGGGAGGGGCAGCCACAAAGGTCTCTGAAATGCTCTAGGGGCATTTTCCCCATTGTCTTGGCTATTCACATTCAGCTCTTTACTTATGCAAATATCTATAGCCCGCTTGAATTCCTCCCCAGAAAATGAGGTTTTCTTTTCTACCATATGGTCAGTCTGCAAATTTTCCAAACTATTACGTTGATTCTCTTTTAAATATAAGTTTCAGTTTCAGGTCATTTCTTTGTTTATGCAAATGAGCATAGGCTTTTAGAAGCAGCCAGGCCACACCTTGACACCCTGATGAACACTTTGTTGCTTAGAAGTTTCTTCTGCCAGATATCCTAAATCACCTTTCTCAAATTCAAAGTTCAACAGATCCCTAGAGCAGGGGCACGATGCTGCCAGTCTCTTTGCTAAAGCATAGCAAGAAAGACCTTTATTCCACTTCCCAATAAGTTTCTCATCTCCATCTGAGACTCCCTCAGCCTGGACTTCATTGTCCATATTACTCTCAGTCTTTTGGTAACAACCATTCAGGCAGTCCCTAGGAAGTTCCAAACTTTCCCTCATATTCCTGTCTTCTTCTGAGTCCTACAAACTGTTCCAGCCTCTGCCCATTACCAGTTCCAAAATCACTTCCACATTTTCAATTATCTTTATAGCAATGCCCTACTTCTCTGGTACCAATTTTCTGTATTAGTCTGTTCTCACATTGCTATAAAGAACTACCTGAAACTGGGTAATTTTAAAGAAAAGAGGTTTAATTGGCTCACAGTTCTTCAGGCTGTACAGGAAGCATGACTGTGGAGTCTTCAGGAAACTTACAACCATGGTGGAAAAGATCAAGGAGAAGCAAGAATGTCTTCACATAGCAGCAGGAGAGAGAGTGAAGGCGGAAGCACTATACACTTTTAAACAACCACATCTCATGAGAACTCATTTGCTATCATGGCTATCATGAGAAGAGCAAAGGAGAAGTCCAACCCTGTTATTCAGTCACCTCCCACCAGGGCCCTTTTCCAACATGTGGGGATTATAATTTGACATTAGATTTGGGTGGAAACATAGAGCCAAACCATGCCAACTAGTTAGCTTATGAATAACAGAAATTTATTCTTTACATGTTTTGGAGGCTAGGAAATTCAAGATCAAAGTGGCAACAGATTTCATGTCTGTTGAGGGCCAGCTTCCTGGTTCACAGACGGCCATCTTCTCACTGTATCTCACATGATGACAGGGGGTGAGGAAACTCTCTAAGGCCTACTTTATAAGAACATTGATCCCATTCATGAGTGCTCTACTCTCATGACCTAATTACCTCACAAAGGCCCCACCTCCAAATACCATAACATTGGGGATTAAGTTTCAACATATAATTTTAGGGAGACAAAATAATTCACTGTATATCACTACTAATTTGAAATTTAAATAACTCTATATTTTCTTTGGGGTCATATTTTACCCCTGCCAGGAACTCCAGCTACTTGTATAATTATTTCCTCACACTCTTATTTATTCATCTTCTTGGGGTATAATATGTCTCTTATTTATCTCTGTTTTCCTGTAGTGAGCAAAAATCTACTCATAATTAATAATATACATTTATTAAACTAAATATACTAAAGTTACAAACATTTTATAACATGCAAGAATTCTGCTATTTCCACTTAATTACAAAACTGTATTTCTATTTCTGATTTTCATAGCCAAATATGGCACCTCACTTGTAAATGATAGGATAGGCTGAGTGCCTAAGGAAGAGGGTCTTACCAGGACAGGTGGGACATGATGAGTAGGAGAGAATTGTCATTGAGTCAATCTTTATGCCCTTTCAGACAACCAGACTCTAATTCTTGGTTGAGTGGAAAAACAAGTGTGCATTAGATGATAGGAAATACCAACAGTCAGTCTGGGCTACTATACCAGAATACTATAGACCTGGCGGCTTAAATAACAAACATGTATTTCTCACAGACTGAAGTCTAGAAAGCCAAAGTTAAAGGTGCTGGCTCTTTCAAATCTGGATGCTCTTCTATATTTGCAGAGTCTGTGTTCTCTCTGAGAGAAGAATCTCTGGTATCTCCTCCTCTTTCTTATAAGGGCACTAATTCCATCATGGGGGCTTCAGTCTCAGGACTCCGTCTAAACCTAATTCCCTACCAAAGGCCCCACCTCCTAATACAATCATGTTGGGGATTAGGTCTTTAACCAATGAATTTGAAGGGAACACAAATATTCAGTACATCATAACTCTTTTCAACATCTTTTGATGTTTGCAATATAGTAGATAAGAACACAAATAAGGCAAAACCCATCACAATTTAAAAATAAATAAGATGTTGTGGTTGGTAATGATGAAAAAATTACATCTATCTAAAGCTACTAAGTCTCCTAAAATGATATAAATTTCTATTGAATTATGATAGGCATCACTATGTCAGTTTTATAGAAGCTTATTTTTGAAAATGAGTTTATGCCTCAACACGTGTTTTTTTCTCTGGGCTATCTTAGTATATCACATTATATTAATAATACTTAGATATAATGCAAAAAAATAAGTTAATATAGACATCTTGTTCATAGATATAGCTTACTTCTTATTTCAAAATTTTACTAGGGCCTGAGTGAAGTGACTGATGCCTGTAATCCCAACACTTTGGGAAGCTGAAGTAGGATGATTGCTTGAGCCCAGGAGCTTGAGACCAGCCCAGGAAACATGGTGAAACCCTGCCTCTACCAAAAAAATAAAAAAATAAAATAAAAACATAAAAAAATTAGGCAGGCATGGTGGCACATGCCATAGTCCCAACTAAAAGGGAGGGTGAGCTGAGAGGATCACTTGAGCCCAGGAGCTCGAGGCTATGGTGAGCTATGATTGTGCCTCTGCACTGCAGCCTGGGTGATGGAGCCAGACACTGACTCAAAAAAAAAAAAAAAAAAAAGGACTAGGATTCTAATAAATTCACTCTCCAACAGGTTCATCACAACCACTTTCAGTTACATTAGAAATATTTGACCACATATTCATTACTTTTCTACTTTTGTATCTCCATAAATTTATAGTTCATTTCAGGGGGCTGCTGTGTGTGCTTGCTTCAACAAATTGGTGTTGAGCCAATTTTCCAGATTCACTGAGATTATGGTTCATATGTAGCAAAAGACATAATTCACAATGATTGCTTATTCTGATTAGCTCCTGTGATGAAAATTCTAGAACCACTCAATCTGAAAATATAAATATAAACCAAAGTATTGCATACAATTTCTGGTGATTTAGTTGCCCCATGAAATCCATGAATTCTCCAAGCCATTTCTAAGCAAAGTAAAACAAACAAGCAATAGGGTATGATCTATAATGAACAGAAACTGAGAGGTTTAGCACTTGGCTAAATTTATGCAATCACTTGAGAGATGATAAACAGAAGAACGTTGGCATTTCTACTAATGATTAAAGACATACTCAGAAAAATAGCCTCAAACCAGAAAACCCAACCTAATAAGGCAGCTAATGCTGGGTGTCAGCCTTCCCCTACTACTACATAGGAGAGTACTTCAAAAGATAAAGGCATAGTCACTAAAGCAAAACACAAACCCAGTTAACATACCCTTGAGATGGAATATTTTTATAAGCACCTTCCTCAAAAGATCTCTGCTGTCTTCACCCTAATATTTTCTTCATCAAAATAGCATTATACATAGAATTCTTTTATTTGAGACGGGGATTTGCTCTTGTTGCCCAGGCTGGAGTGCAATGGCACGATCTTGGCTCACCGCAACCTCCACCTCCCAGGTTCAAGTGATTCTCCTGCTTCAGCCTCCTGAGTAGCTGGGATTACAGCATGCGCCACCATACCCAGCTAATTTTGTATTTTTAGTAGAGATGGGATTTCTCCATGTTGGTCAGGCTGGTCTCAAACTCCTGACCTCAGGTGATCTGCTCGCCTCAGCCTCCCAAGGTGCTGGGGTTACAGGCGTTACAGGCGTGAGCCACTGTGCCCAGCCTGAGCCACTGTGCCCCGGTCTTTAGCTTTTTTTTTTTTTTTTTTTTTTTGAGACAGAGTCTCACTCTATCGCCCAGGCCGGAGTGCAGTGGCACAATCTCAGCTCACTGCAAACTCCACCTCCCGGTGGAGAATCAAGCGATTCTTCTGCCTCAGCCTCCTGAGTAGCTGGGATTATTGGCAAGTGCCACCACGCCTGGCTAATTTTTGTATTTTTAGTAGAAAAAGGGTTTCACCATGTTGGCCTGGCTGGTCTCGAACTCCTGACCTCAGATGATCTACCCACCTCAGCCTCCCAAAGTGCTGGGATTACAGGTGTGAGCCACCGCACCCAGCCTAGAATTCTTATTATGCTGAAGCACATTATATTTCAATACTAGGGTTGACATATTGGTAACATCTGTCATTTTATATTAATCAGGATAGGCTTATCTATGATGTAGAAACAAATTAAACCCCAATCTCAGTGGCTTAACTAAGTAAGAATGCATTTAATGCTTGTCTTATGGATCCAATGAATATCAGTGGGAGGAAGGAGTGGTACTTTGCTCCACACAGCCACTTAGTAAACAAGACTGACAGAGATGCTATCTGTGTTGTAGCTGTATCATCATGAATATATAGTCAAGAATGAAGAGGAAAGAAAATAAAAGAAAAAGTGAAGTATCTTGTGGTACATTTTAAGAGACAGGCTTGGATATTACTCCTGCTCAAGTCCCACTGGCCAGAGCCAAGTCACTTCACTCCAAAATAAAACTGCAAAGAGGACTAGGAAATATCATATGTCAAGGAAGAGGTAATTGAAAGAGTTGGGTGAGCACCAATTGTTACCGCTAAAAAGATACCTATGTTCAATGCTAAATTTTACAATGTATCTATTTTTAAATGATTTCTGATATCTACTTTTGGGTGGCTGACACTTATGCTTCCTACAAGCATGTTCCTCTTTGGGTTACTTGTGATATGAAAGTGGTGTTGACCCTGTGCTGAGACTGACTAACAATAAAATTTGAAGAGGACTGTATAATGATGTTAAAAAATCAGAAAATATTTTCAATGACTGGCAGAAATATTTTTATTCAAAAATTAAGCTTGTATTTGAACTGTGAATATTGCCCAAATCCTATTGACCAGAACCCAGTTAGTGGGCCTCAGCATAACTATAAGGAATGCTGGGAAATGTCTTTCTGTGCTCAAATAAGAACCCTCAAGGGAATGAAAAGAATTTATTGTTTAAGAAAAAGAGGTGGCCAGGCGCGGTGGCTCACGCCTGTAATCCCAGCACTTTGGGAGGCCGAGGCGGGCGGATCACGAGGTCAGGAGATCGAGACCATCCCGGCTAAAATGGTGAAACCCCGTCTCTACTAAAAATACAAAAAATTAGCCGGGCGTAGTGGCGGGCGCCTGTAGTCCCAGCTACTTGGGAGGCTGAGGCAGGAGAATGGCGTGAACCCGGGAGGCGGAGCTTGCAGTGAGCCGAGATCCCGCCACTGCACTCCAGCCTGGGCGACAGAGCGAGACTCCGTCTCAAAAAAAAAAAAAAAAAAGAAAAAAGAAAAAGAGGTAGCTTTGGCACAGATAAGTGAGGCAATCAGCACAAAAGTGGCTTATCATCACTTACTACCAGATGTGCTGTTACAGATCTTTATAATACATAATGTTTTAAGGTCCTCTTACTTTCAGTAAGAAAAATGATATATAAATTATGCTTCTCTTGGAACATACCTTTCATTATTTTTAATAGCATTTGTTAGCAAAGTAGTCATTGATTGGATTGATTGATCTAGTTGTAGTATCCAAGGAAGCAAAGCCTTTAGATGAATCAACAGCCATATGAACAGCACCCTTTATCAAGCAGATTAATATCCTCTTTTCCTAGAGAGTAATCTTGGAAAAGGCTGAAAAACATTTACTTTCCAAAATAATTTTTGTCTAAAATTATTCTCTTATCAAGTTTGAAATAAACCTAGTTTTTCATTAACACTAAAACACATGGTCCACAATGAAAAAATATCAGCTGCTTAGACATGCAAACTTACTTTCTAGTTAGTGCACTTTGCAAAATATAAATTGAGACTATTAACATAATGACAAGTCATCAACTTTCCAAGGATAAAAAAAGAGGAAGAACTAGGTCCTATAAATGGTTTTCTATTGAGCTCCCTCTATGATACACTTAGACAACATGGCAGTAAGACACCAGAGGAAAGAAGTGACTATATTTATAGTTCTTCCAAAAAACTAATTGTGCTTAACCATCTGTTTTACTGACCTGAAACTGCTTTGTGGAGTTAGGATAAGTAGAATCTATATACAATTAATTACAATAAATGCTGTAGAAATCACTGATGTGTACCAAAATGGAGCCTCCAAGCAGAGATAAGAGCCTTGATAACTGAGTTTCTATCACCCTGAAGCTTCCAGGTACATTAGTGTTCCTCAAACACTTTCTGTTCTCTTGAAAAGAAAAAAGGTATATAGTGAAAAAAGGTATTCTTGTCTACTGTAGGAAAATAACTACTTGGTGACTGTACACTTTTGTTAGTTTTTCTTTTCCCCTGGAAAGCAAATGAAAATATTTGCCAGTTAACATAATGAGACACAAACATAGTCACAATTTTTCCTAACTAAATGAAGCATATTTTTTCTACTGGGAACACACAGATTAAACAAAATAAAAACTAACAAATAAAAGCCTTCATATTTCAACTGAGTAACAATCGTGTAGCCTGATTTTCTCACCTTTGCTTAAAACCACAGTCCTAAGAGGAGGAATTCTTGTGGAATTTTAAAACTTCTTCTGAAATTACCTGGAAGCCATTACCATAAAAGAGAATGTGTTACATTTTTTTCTCCACATTTATACTTTCTTAAAGGTACCAACTAGAATTTTTGAACAGCACAAATTGCTTCATTTTTGAAAAGAAAAGAAAAGTTTTTGAAAAGTTTATCCTATGCTACTACTTCTGGGATAACATCTAGATAGAGCAAAATAAGCCTATTTATTCTAACAGTGGAGGAAAAATTGCTAGTTCCCAAAGTAGCCTAGTGAAATTATCCTGATAAAAATAAAACTTTTTCTCTTTTTTCTTTTGATAAGTATAACCACACTAGCTCTGATTACCTTCTTCTAGTACTTATGAAATGTTTTTCTGCCTCGTCTGGAGGTATGTTCTTTGAGGAACCTTCAGTATAATAGTCCACCAGTCTGTATTGTACATTTCATCTACCTATGATGTAAATTAACTATGGGCAAACTTGGTATCTCAGGCTTATGCTGGAAGATTTGAAGTTTTGCACAAACACCATCAATATAATCTCATTTGGCCTTGGGAGGCACTAGGAGCTAGTTACTTTTCTTTTCCTTCAGGACTATGTCAGGACTAAAACCAGGATTTAGCATCATATGTGCCTCAGGGAAGAGCAATATGTCTCCTGCTACAGTTGTGGGTGTGTAAGTTCTCTTACTCAACATGTATTTTCTTAATTATCTTAACAAATGTTGGATCATGATATGGCTTGGCTGTGTCCCTACACAAATCTCATGTTGAATTGTACTCCCATAATTCCCACGTTTCATGGGAGGAATCAGGTGAGAGGTAATTGAATCATGGAGGCGGTCTTTCCTGTACTGTTCTTGTAAGAGTGAGTAAGTCTCATGAGATCTGATGGTTTTAAAAATCGGGGTTTCCCTGCACAAGCTCTCTCTCTTTTCCTGCTGCCATCCATGTAAAATATGACTTGCTCCTCCTTGCCTTCCTCCATGATTTTGAGGTTTCCACAGCCACATGGAACTGTAAGTCCATTAAAACTCTTTCTTCTGTAAATAGCCCAGTCTCAGATATGTCTTTATCAGCAGCATGAAAACAGACTAATAGAGACCACGACAACTGTTGGCCAAGTGGCTCAAATGTACTAAATCATTTTTTTGCATCTAAACTTATTTTTATCACATTCTAAGCAATTGCAATGACAGGACTCTGCTATAGATCCAAACTCAGTTTTGCCCTTATAAAAGTCTGCAGAGAATGGAAAAAAATCATAATTTTACTTTTACAGTGAAGCAATTCACATTTCAGAATGATGTTTAGCTCATCTATAGACACTGAGATTCTTGATAAAAGTAAAACTTTTCCAATCAAATCCAAGAATAGGAGGTGATAAATCTCTCCTCCCCACACCCACCAAAATCACAAGTTCTAAAGAAAAGACTAGCAAGGAGGTAACCAAGACAGTTCTTGCATTTTTTTAGCCTTTATCCTACCTTAGATTTTATATGGAAAAACAAAATTTTTTTAAAGAAAAATTTTTAGCAAGAGCATTGCTTGCTACATGGTGAGTCTGTGCATTTCTCTTGTCTTCCCAGGAAATATGTGGGTATACAGTGGGAGGAAAGGTATTTTCCTGTCACCACATGGAGACTAACTTGAATAAGGGACTTGCCTTTAAGAAGGGAGACTAACATCTATCCCCTGGCTAGATAATTGTAGAGATAAAAAATTCATCAGCTAGGCCAACTTCATGTCCAAAGATGCTGAGAAAAAAATAAAAGTCCCATGGAGTGATCAGCACTTGGAGAGCTAGTAACAAAAAGGATGCATACAATTTCAGATGGAGCATAATAAAAAACACAGATGGTAGGAAATCACTAGGTGTTTGGAACAACCTTACCTAGAAAGACTGTGTGGTAAATTGAGGTGATCTAATAAAAAACTAAGAACCTCTGGGGTTTTCCTGGGAAGTTGTAGTGGTCAGTCTGCATTATGGAATTCTACAATTTAAAATTACCTTGCACTTAATTAAATCAGCTAATTTAAATCATGGCAATGAATAGGGAAACCTCCAGTAACCCATCCCAATGTTTCCTAATGACCAAACATATAGAAATACTGATTGGAATGCTTCCTTTTCTTTAGCTATTTTAACTGTATGTAGGCTGCTAGTCTATAAAGTGCTTTAGGGCAAAGTCTATGTCCAAATGTGTTTATACCTTACAATGCTTTATACAATGTTACTAATTCTGTAGATTCTCAGTTAACACTTATTGAGATAATCTTCCATTATGCATTACAGAAAGATTTGCTTACATTAGATATTTTTGTAGTTATACACAAATTACAAGACAAGAGACTGATTTGATCTACCCTGCATAATGCCTTATGTTTATGTGTGATTATGTGTATCTGCATGTTTGTGTGCACACATCTGTATGTGTGTGCTAGCATTTCATAATCTATCAATCCTGAAGAATGCTAGTTTCTCTACATCCAGATCTGTAGATCCACATGGGATATTACAATTCCTTTTTTAAGAAGCTTTAATAATTGTTAATAATAATTCCTTAATGTTTTTAATATATAAATGGAATACAATGCTTTTTATCCATGGAATTACAGTTGTGATGGGATAAAATGAGCTACTACCAGTATATGCAAAATGCCTGGCACAGATTGTGTCTATTAGGCAAAGGAGAGAGAGGGACAACTGCAATGCGCTGCAGTAAAAGGTCAGAGATAAGTAGAGATAAGCAGAGCACAGTTTTAGTTTTATCCTGACTTGGTAATCAGAAGTAGGGGATAAATTCATAAAACATAGTTGATTCTCCTTATTCTCAGTAGTTACACTCTATACAGTCACTGTGAACACTGACCTAGTGAATACCAAACAACTTTTCTTGGGGAAAACATAGAGTTAGTTTCCTAAAAGCCAACAGTCACAATATTTTTGTCAACCAATTAATGGATAACCTTGCTTTATGTTTGTATTTTTAATATATTTTATTTAATATACATTGTTGATTCATTAACATTGAACTCAAATGCTACTATAACTCATGCCTACACAAATGGATTTTCTTTGTAAGGCACATTGCAGCCTTCTTGCACCTAGCAATATCAGATAACAGTTAAGCACTATGCTGGGGGAACATTTTGAAGAGCAAAATCACCAACATCACAAAAATATGAAAAATAGACCATGAAAAGAATATGTTTACAGTATGAAAGCTAAAATAAGAACCAGACATTTGCCTTATTCATCAACAGCTGAGAATGTGCCTGCCAGGAAACTCAAACTTTTCTCCACTCCTCACACATCCATGAACTGCAAAAATGTCATGTGTACTAATTTTGGAATTCCAAATAAATTTAGTAAGTAAATTTGCAAACATAAAATATACAGATAATGAGAATTGGCTATATTCAGCCTAAAATCTCCTTAAGCTCATAAGCAACTTCAGCAAAGTCTCAGGATACAAAATCAACGTGCAAAAATCACAAACATTCCTATACACCAATAACAGACAAACAGAGAGCCAAATCATGAGTGAACTCCCATTCACAATTGCTTCAAAGAGAATAAAATACCTAGGAATTCAACTTACAAGGGATGTGAAAGACCTTTTCAAGGAGAACTACAAACCACTGCTCAATGAAATAAAAGAGGACACAAACAAATGGAAGAACATTCCATGCTCATGGATAGGAAGAATCAATATTGTGAAAATGGCCATACTGCCCAAGGTGATTTATAGATTCAATGCCATCCCCATCAAGCTACCAATAACTTTCTTCACAGAATTGGAAAAAACTACTTTAAAGTTCATGCGGAACCAAAAAAGAGCCCGCATTGCCAAGACAACCCTAAGCCAAAAGAACAAAGCTGGAGGCATCAAGCTACCTGACTTCAAACTATACTAGAAGGCTATAGTAACCAAAACAGCATGGTACTGGTACCAAAACAGAGATATAGACCAATGGAACCAAACAGAGTCCTTAGAAATAATATCACACATCTACAAACATCTGATCTTTGACAAACCTGACAAAAACAAGAAATGGGGAAAGGATTCCCTATTTAATAAATGGTGCTGGGAAAACTGGCTAGCCATATATAGAAAGCTGAAACTGTATCCCTTCCTTACACCTTATACAAAAATTAATTCAAGATGGATTAAAGACTTACATGTTAGACCTAAAACCATAAAAACCCTAGAAGAAAACCTAGGCAATACCATTCAGGGCATAGGCATGGGCAAGGACTTCATGTCTAAAACACCAAAAGCAATGGCAACAAAAGCCAAAATTGACAAATGGGATCTAATTAAACTCAAGAGCTTCTGCACAGCAAAAGAAACTACCATCAGAGTGAACAGGCAACCTACAGAATGGGAGAAAATTTCTGCAACCTACCCATCTGACAAAGGGCTAATATCCAGAATCTACAAAGAACTTAAACAAACTTACAAGAAAAAATCAAACAACACCATTGAAAAGTGGGCAAAGGATATGAACAGACACTTCTCAAAAGAAGACATTTATGCAGCCAGCAGACATGTGAAAAAATGCTCATCCTCACTGGCCATCAGAGAAATGCAAATCAGAACCACAATGAGATACCATCTCACACCCGTTAGAATGGCAATCATTAAAAAGTCAGGAAACAACAGTTGCTGGAGAGGATGTGGAGAAATAGAAACAACTTTTACACTGTTGGTGGGACTGTAAACTAGTTCAACCATTGTGGAAGACAGTGTGGTGATTCCTCAAGGATCTAGAACTAGAAATACCATTTGACCCAGCCATCCCATTACTGGGTATATACCCAAAGGATTATAAATCATGCTGCTATAGAGACACATGCACACGTATATTTATTGCTACAGTATTCACAATAGCAAAGACTTGGAACCAACCCAAATGTCCATCAATGATAGACTGGATTAAGAAAATATGGCACATACACACCATGGAATACTATGCAGCTGTAAAAAAGGATGAGTTCATGTCCTTTGTAGTGACATGGATGAAGCTGGAAACCATCATTCTCAGCAAACTGTCACAAGGACAGAAAACCAAACACCACATGTTCTCCCTCATAGGTGGGAATTGAACAATGAGAACACTTGGACACAGGATGGGGAACATCATACACCAGGGCCTGTCGTGGGGTGGGGGGAGCGGAGAGGGATAGCATTAGGAGATACACCTAATGTAAATGATGAGTTAATGGGTGCAGCACACCAACATGGCACATGTATACATATGTAACAAACCTGCATGTTGTGCACATGTACCCTAGAACTTAAAGTATAATAATGAAAAAAAAAAACTGCAAATTCTTTTGTTGATAGATAAATTGGGAATAAGGGCCTCCCTACATTTTATGTAATGCTAGAATGTTCAGTGCAGATCTACTTGCAAATACCTTATGAAAAGACACACTGAAATGTGTCTTCATTAAAATGAAAATAATTCTCTAATTTTAGGAAGCAATAATGTCATGTATTTCAGAAATTTAGACATTAATTACAGTTCAGTGTGTGTGTATGTGTGTGTGTGTGTGTGTGTGTGTGTTTGAGACAGGATCTTGCTCTGTCACCCATGCTGAAGTGCAGTGGCATCATCATTGTAACCTTAAAGTCCTAGGTCAAGTGATCCTCCCACCTTAGTGTCCTGAGTATCTGGAAATACAGGCATACACTACCCTGTCTGGTTAGTTTTTTAAAAAATTATAGAGATAGGGTCTTGCTATGTTGCCCAGGCTCGTCTCAAACTCTTGGCCTGAAGAGTTTCTCCCACCTCGGGCTCCCACAGCACTAGGATTATAGGCATGACCCACTGTGCCTGGCCTCAAATTACAGTTTGATATAACCAAGCCACAGTTTCCTAGATGATAGTGTGTTAATCTTTAAAATGCAGAAGAAAGCTTGTTTGAACCTGGAAATGTAACTCTAGACCACAAGAAGATATGGAATAAGACATTTACTAACACAATCTATTACTGTTTTTTCTTCAAAAATAAGTATAAAATATTTTTGATGCCTATAACTTCTTTAATTATAAAGACATTAAACCTCAAAATGAAAATTGAAAGGTCTCATTACTTGACCACCTTGCCTCCTCGTGCTTCCCATTCAAAAGGGCTCATTAAGCCAGCAAAGGCCTCCAAGGGTTGTTCCTGGGTTTTACTTGTCACTTATTTTCAGTAAAATATGACAATTGAATTGATTTTACAGATTACTTGAATTTGAACCTTCTCCTACCACCACAGTAAAAAATATATAAATGATGTTTATATTTACCACATTGGCTTATCAATAGCTGTACTTACAATATATTCTATGGAAAATAACAAGAAAATTAAAGTCATCATCTGCTCTCTATTACTTTTAATGAACATTTATTTGACTATACATGTAATACCAAAAGTCATTCCAACACAGTTATCCACAGTAAAGTGCATTGCTGACCATTCAAAAGCACAGCTGAACCCACAACTAGACAATTAGTCTAATGACCCTACCACCTGTCCAACTGTTAGTGGAAGTAAATAGCCCTTAATAAGCAGCTAGAAAAATTCATTCATGGGGAATTTAAGCTGCTATGCGACTTCTATCACATCCTTCATGAGGATGAAACAACTAAGCTTTGTAATTCAATTTGACCAATTATTTATTGCATGTCTATTGTTTGCCATACACTGCGATAGACACTAAAAAGCATTCAAAGCTGAGTAGGCCATGTTTCTTCGGGAAACTCATTTTCCAATTATAGAGATCAGAAACATACATAAAACACGAAAATGCTGGGCAACTTTAGATAATTACCATAAAATAAGTACATACAAATTACTGCAGAGTTTCAGAGAGGAAGGTACATGCCATTCTAGGAATCATAAAATGTTTCTTGGGGCAAAAGTATGTGCACTGAACCTTGTGTAGTTGGAATAATCTCTTTAGCTGGGAAGGCAAGATAAGTAGAGTTTAGCTAGAAGTGAAGGTTTCAGCTTGTGTATTAGAGGTGTGTAACAAGGGGATGCTTTGGAAGGGCCTGCAACCTAAAGAGGTGTTTTATGGGAGACAGGGCTGTGAGTGAGTGTGTGTGTGTGTGTGTGTGTGTGTGTGTGCGCGTGCGCGCGCGTGCGCGCACGCACGACTCAAGATTTATTAAAAATTTTACTATGCCAGAGTGAAAAATTCAAACTTAAATCATAAGAATAAAGGAAAGCTTTTGAATAGGGGAATGATATAATGAATGGGAGCAGTGTCTTTAAAGTATCCAGCATGGAGAAGTTACAATCAAGTTTAAAAGAGAAAGATGGGAGTGAGATTAGTTTTAGTGCCTTAGTGGATAGTATGTGCTTTATATGTATTTTCCCATTATATGTCCTTAATACTCCTTTAAAAATTTGCAACAATTATTTCTATTTTATAAGTCTTAAAGATTTCAAATGAAGTGCTCAAAGTAACAGCTACTTAATTATGAGTGAAAATATAAAATATTATATACTAATGTTATTATGAGTTACAATATAAATTATGTAGTCTGGCTACAGAACATGGAAAGCAAATGGTTGAATGACTGAATAAGAAAATATTTTGTAAATGGTTATAATGCCTTAATAAGGTCACTACCTGTGTCCCCAAAATTTGTAATTAATTCACCTTGAAAATTCCTTCCCTTGTGATTTTCTGATATATGGAACTTTAGGAGAGATGGCCAACAAATAAGTGACTTTATAGGATCTCAGCATTTTTTATAGATACAGTTAAATATTTTATAATTCTTTGCAAATTTTTTTTTGAAACAGAGTCTTACTCTGTCACTAGGCTGGAGTGCAGTGGCACGATCTCGGCTCACTGCAATCTCTGCCTCCTGGGTTCAAGGGATTCTCCTGCCTCAGCCTCCTGAGTAGCTGGGACTATGGGCACAGACCACTATGCCCAGCTAATGTTTATATTTTTAGTAGAGACGGAGTTTCACCTTGTTGGCCAGGATGGTCTCAATCTCTTGACCTTGTGATCCACCTGCCTCGGCCTCCCAAAGTGCTGGGATTACAGGCATGAGCCACCATGCCCAGCCTGCAAAAATTATTTTTGTCTTTACTTTCACATATGGTGATTTCTAAGGAGTACTTGCATTTGACATCCTTTGATTTTCTAGGTAGTAAGTGTACTAGAGAAACACTCCAAGGTAGAATTCAGATCCCTGAACTGGGCTTCACTTCAGCATAATCAACAAGTCTTGGACATGTGGTCCAAACAAAATTGGAATAATCACTCACATAGTAAAGAAAAAAAAAGAACTAAAAAAAGTTTCAAATGTTAAAAATGCAATGAACATTTAAAGATAAAACTAATACTTCATTGAAGATCTCCACTCATTTCCCTAATGCTGCACTTTGAGGCATGTTACAGCCTAATAAGAATCAGATGTCTAAGATAGAGTTTAAATGTATGTATGTACATATATATATGTATGTACATATATATGTATGTATATATATGTACGTATATATGTATGTATATATATGTACGTATATATGTATGTATATATGTATATGTGTGTGTATATATATGTTTGTGTATATATGTGTATATATATATGCATGTATATATATGTATGTATTGTGTGTATGTACATGTGTGTGTACATATATATGACTTTTGGAAGTCCCTTACTCTGTGTGTATCACCTATGGAATGGGGAATAATAAATGTACTGTATTAGTCCCTTCTCACATTGCTCTAAAGAAATACCTGAAACTGGGTAATTTATAAAGAAAAGACATTTAATTGCCTTACAGTTCTGCAAGGTGTACAGGAAACAATGGCTGTTGCTTCTGGGGAGGTCTCAGGAAACTTACAATTATGGCAGAAGGTGAAGGGTAAGTCAGAGCAGGAGGGAGAGAGAGTGGAGAGGTGCTACACATTTTAAACAAGCAGATCTCACAATAACTCACTATGACAAGAACAGCACTGAGGGGATGGTGCTGAACCATTCATAAGAAACCCACCCCTGTGATCCAATCACCTCACACCAGGCCTCACCTCCAACACTGGGGATTGCAATTTGACATAAGATTTGGGTGGGGACCCATAGCCAAACCATATTGTACATCTTCTGAAATCTAGGTGGAAGTTGTCAAGGCTCCTTTACTCTTGCATTCTGAGCCTAGATCCAAACCATACCAAGTACTAACCTCAAACCATATTAAATGAGTGAATATAAATTAATTAACACAGTGAATGGCACACAATAAGTTCTGTATAGTTATAATTTATCTTTTTTAATAGGTTTTAAGCCATGTGGATTCTCCAGAGCTTTAAAAATTAAGTAATAATCATGGTAATCACAAATATTTGTGTCCCAAGTTAGAAAGGTGAGGTGGAACACTGTTTGAAGTTGTCGCATAGGTTTCAATTTTCAGTTGGTTGCATGAGAGCAAGTATCTGAGAACAGATTTATCTAGAAACTAATTCTCCCCAAAGGAGCCTACATCAGGTACATGAGCTAGATTTTATGGGCTCTCATAAACATGAAATCAGCTGTTCTTTATGGAAACAGGAACTTGGACCAGGCAATGCAAACAAATTCAGAGTGAATCTCTGGGAAGGTGACTACTCAAGTCCCTTACTATTCTTCAAGGAAACTATGAAAGAAAAAATATCCAGTACTCAAAAAACTAATCCTCAGGGGATAGCAACAACAACAGCAACAAACATGCTCCCCTTAGTTTAGTCCTTCCTCTTAGTCATTCTTATTGCCATTGTTTTGTATTGTTGTTGTTGTTGTTTAGCAAATTAGAATTGCAATTTCACTTAAAAATGTGTTTTTTTGGGAAAAATCTGAGAAATTACTCTGAAAGGTATATTACATCCAGTTTAGGCCCTCTGTGACCTAAAGGAAAATATGCAGCAGTTGGTAAAATTTATTTGCATTTTACTGCAGAAAAAAAATCTTCTCTAAATCGTCCTCAAATTTATAAGGCCAAATGATCTTAACCGTAACTGTCTAACAAAGCTGTTGAAGTGCAGAGATAGCAGATACTGAAGCATTCATATTCTGAATGAAAAGTTTTCATTATTTTACTCCTTCAGATTTTTTAGTAAAATCGGGAAAAACAAAGAGCCTCCTTTATGGGTGATAAATGTTTATACTACCACTTTCTTTTAAAAATATCCAAGATTTTTTGAACCAATCTTTAATATCTAAAATCAGGATTATTTAAAAATTTTAAAATCTTACATTGACTCATAAATACAGCAAAATACACAGAAATTCTATGAAAATTTTACCAGGACACATCAGTTGAAGGAGTGTCCTGTCAAAAGTGATATAATCATTGCCACAGAATATAATTATATAATTAAAAGTGAATACTATGGTAGGCAGGATATAAGAATGTAAAGAACTTTCTAATAGTTGGAGTTTTCTCATAATTAGGAAAAAGCTAGCTAATTTTACTTAACACTTCTGTATACCAGATTTGTCTTCAATGTTTCATGATTATCTTGCTTCCTGACAACAAAGACCTATAGGGAAAGGACTATGTTACCCTCCTTTTACAGAAAAAAAAAAATTGAGATGCAGAAAGTTTAATTAAGTTGTTCAAACATCACATAGTTGTAATAGCCAGTATTTCCACTCAGGTTGGTTCCAAGGATACTGAACAGGTACACGATTTTGCCTCTGAGAGCTTAGACCATACACATTTGTCAGAAAGGAGTCTTTTTTTTTTTTTTTTTTTTTTTTGTGAGACAGGGTCTCCCTCTGTTGCCCAGGCTGGAGGGCAGTAGTATGATCTCGGTTCACTGCAGTCTTGACCTTCTGGGTTCCAGTGATTCCCCACCTCAGTCTCCCAAGTAACTAGGACTACAGGCGCCCATCAACACGCCCAGCTAATTTTTGTATTTTTTGCAGAGATGGGGTTTTGCCATGTTGCCATGGCTGGTCTCGAACTCGAGCTTAATCAACCCACCCGGCCACAGCTTCCCCAAGTGCTGGGATTACAGATGTGTGCTGTTTATAAAGGAGTCTTTTAATACAAACTCCTGAAAAGACAAACAGCAAAGAAAAAAAATGACTATTCTAAGACTATTCTGGAAGGTCAGTGTGCAGAAAAGATGGACAGAGGAAGACATCTTAGGGTGAGAATGAGCATTACTAAAGCTATGCTACGATATAGGAGTGAGGGAATACTAAATACTACTACTTTACATGTCAATAAGAAATTTTGATAGCATCTGTCACTTCAGAACAACCCTGGGGGCTAGGGAATTGTTTTCCCCACTTTACAGATAAAGAAACTAAACTTCTTAAGAGATTCTGTAGTTGTTCAAGGCTACACAGCTAGTAAGAGATGAAGCTAAGGTTCAAAGCCAAGTCTATCTGATTATAGAGCCTGAATAAACACCAAGCTATATGGACTGGATTATTTTATATGCATAAATTGTTCTGAGCCCCACGACATCCTTATGAGGTTATGAAAGGAAAATATCTTGGGCCTCCAAATCAGTAAGGAAGATTCAAGCTGGAAACTGCTTAGGCCAAACCTGCCTCCCATTCTATTCAAATTAGATGCATATCTAATTTGCCTTCTTTGGAAAGGCTAATCAGAAACTCAAAAGAATGTAACCATTTGTCGATCACCTGTCTGTGACCTGGAAGCTCCCTCCCTGCTTCCAGTCTTCCTGCCTTTGCTTCAAGTTGTCTCACCTTTCCAGACCAAACCAATGTACTTCTTACATATATTGATTGATGTCTCCTGTCTCCCTAAATATATAAAACCAAGCTGTGCTGTGACCACCTTGGGTACATGTCATCAGGACTTCCTGAGGCTGTGTCACAGGTGTGTCCTCGATCTTGGCAAAATAAGCTTCCTAAATTAATTGGGACCTGTCTCAGATTTTCTGGGTTCAAGGTACATCACTATGTGCAAAGATTAAGAGACACCTGGGTGTCATACTGTTGGGATTCAAACCCAGGCTTATGATGATGGGTCAAGTTATATAAAACATACAATTGAAGGAAACTAACTTCAAAGCAAACAATTGATCCAAGATAGTGTCTATCCTTCATGCTTCATGAAAGAACAGTCTCAGTTCAAAGACCAAAAATTCCTTTAGGGTGCTTTTAATAATGAAAAAGTTGTTTATTTTCCTCTAAGACCATTTTATATTTATCTTCTGGAAGCTCCCAGTTACTGCTTATTGTTGAGTTCACTGAGGGTAGCATTTCTGAAATGAGGACATTAATCAGTATTTGATGTTTTCTTTTGTTTCAAAAACAAAGAAAGAAAATGATCCATAAAAACTATACTGTTTCTTATGCTGTTTTTCTATGAATTATATTAAAAATTTCCATCAGAGAAGCCGCAATGTCACTACCAGCTTGGGGTTCAGATTGTACATGTATATGACATATTTCACACTTTGAAAAATGGCATAACTTTGTCATATTGTAGCAAGTCCCAGTATCAGAGTTAATGAGTTTACATATGGAAGAAAGAGTGGAGGGAGCTGAGATTAGATAACAGATTATCAATAGTAGAAAAATGAAAAATGGTAACACTTGTTCATCTTGGACATTGGTGGAAATTTCCTCACACTTGTCAACATGGGCCTTTCTTCCTATTTCTAGATTTGAAAGTCGTAAGGCAATGTTCAGTACACCATGCTGTGGCTGATGGATTGACATGTCTCTCACTCAGATAATAATTGGCTTTGGCTTCCTGCCTACTAACAGCTGCAAGAACAATTTAGAGTCTGACCCTGACACTTGACTCCATGTTTCTTTGATTTACTTTTTCCCAGGACAGTAGGAATTTTTGTTGTTTTTCTTAAATTCACATCTCAAACAGTGTATGCAAGGTTAACTGATTTTACCTCCTAACTTTTAAGTTCTGTGGAACATTAGAAAATGTCTATAAAACATATATGTATAAAAATTATCGAAATTTCCTTTCCTAAATTATCAGTTCTTCTAAAGTTCTATTGGATATGGAAAATGCTCTCAGGTTTCCCCCTGCTTCTCAGAACTCTGGGAGACTTCACGATGGATCCTGACACTGTTGTTTTCTTGAGCAAAAAGCTGGCAGTCATGCCTAAGTGGCTAATTCTGGGTCTATTTATTATCTTTGCTCTAGTTCTTGCTATATATTTAACACACATAACAGACCTGACATAGCTAAACTGAAAAACCTCTGGTTCTGAAATCTTGGAGGCTTGTCTGTATACCTAGAATCACCTAGAATTAATACCTTTTACATTAACACAGTCATGCCAAAGACTCCTCCTGCAAAACAGTGGAAAAGTGAGAAAAAAAATTCTCAGGCACCTGCAGCAAACATACTACAAAGTATGAATACATGACATATTCAATGTATTTTATTACTAAGCAACCATATTTTAAGTTAATGGTGTCAGGGTCGTATTAAAAAAAGAAAGCAAGATCTCTAGAGAAATCACTATAAAAGATTCAATGGCTACAAAAACCCATTGTCTGAGCAATTGCACATATAAAATCAAAATCTGTGAGGAACACAACTAAGGATTCTAACAAGCCAATTGAAATAATATCTCTGGTTAAACTAACTGTGGAAAATTAAGCTATAGTGCGGACAAAAATAGACTCCAATGTAGAACTGCTGTTTATCTTATCTCATTTATATAAATAGCATGCAACATGTGCATATTCAATGTAAGATCATTTATGAGTAAGAATAGATATAAAATCTCTCATGGAAAATTCTGCAAAACAAGATTTATTTCTAACTGTATACCACATAGTACAAGTATTTTATGAATTGGTATAGCAGGTAATAGAAATCCAACTAGATTGAACTGTATTAATGGGTGAAGTCTCTTTTAAGTATTAACTTTTAGAAAATACAAAGACTGAACTCTATGAGCCCTGAAGAAAGGAAAGCTGTTGGTTTCCTCTTGTCACCTCTAATTCAGGCATATCAATATTGGCAGATGAGTTGCAATTGTGTAATTACACTGACTGTTTTTAATTCTTGATCCATTTAAAAGCCATGTGATAGTGCCAAGTTATTTAATCTTTATGATTATCATTTTCCCTTTTTAATGGAGAAAATAATACTAACTCATAAATTTGTTATGAAGTTTAAATAAAGTAATGTTTAAAGGGGATTTGGATAATGGCTGGCACATGTTAAGTGCCCAACAAATGTTAGCTCTAATTAGCTAACAATAATATCTACTATAGAAAATTTGCATCAGGCTTCTCATTCATCTGAACACAGATACTTTATATCCCACCAACTCTTGGAATTGTGCATTTGTTCTCTATTTCAGTACGGTTTTATCTTCCTATTCTGTTTGATGAATCAGCATCTTCCTTGGGTTCCACATCTGCTAGCTCCTGTAGATGCACAATGCCGAAAGGCCCATATATTCTTACCAGCACATAGCAGCTATTCCCTATTCCCCAACTCATGTAAGTATGAGTGTACAAGTGTGAGATGGCAGATAGAGGCACATAATGCAAACTGGTTTGTGACATACAGGTGCTTAGAAATCAGAAAAGAGTTCTCATAAAGACCAGAATAATAAAAAGGGTAAAAAGTGTACAATCAGGAAAGTGATCCCTTTGAGAGACTACAACAACATCTTGTTATAGAAGAAAGAGAGGTGAAAACGAAGAAAAAATAAAAACATATGCACACACGTATGCATGCCGACGTGTATGCCATCAATTTTAGTCCTATAATAGACACTTAATTATTCCATATATGCCCCTTATTAAGAAAATTTCCTTCTATTCCAACATTGTTGACAATGTTTTCTTTTTTTCCTAATGGGTGGTAAAATTTATAAATTTCCCTCTACATCTAATGATATAAGGTCTCTCTTCTTTAATTCTGGTGATATTATGAATTACATTGATTTTCATACATGGAAATAATTTTATTTATTTTTGAGACAGGGTCTTGCTCTGTTTCTTAGGCTGGAGTGCAGAGCCATGATGACTCACTGCAGCCTCGATCTTCCAGGCACAAGCAATCCTTCCACTTAGCCTCCCAAGTAGCTGGGACTACAGGCATGTACTACCATGCCAAGCTATTTTTTTTTTATTTTTGTAGAAGTAGGGTCTTTCTCTATTGCCTAGGCTTGTCTTGAACTCCTAGGCTCAAGTGATTCTCCCAGTCAGCCTCCCAAAGTGCTGGGATTACAGGTGTGAACCACAATACCCACCCTTGAAATAGCTTTTTTAAAAAAATTCTTGGGGAAAACTTCATTGTTTATGATGTATTTTTCTTTCTTATTAGTATCATTATTTAGATATAATTCATATGTTATACAATTTATACATTTAAATTACATAATTCATTGTTTTCTAATATTCATAAAGTGTGCAATCATCACTACAAACAATTGTAGAACATTTTCAAAACCCCCAAAAGAAACCTCATACTAGTTAGCAGCCACTGTCCACTACACCTCAACCTCCCCAGACCTAGATAATTGCTAATCTACTTTTTGTCCCAATTGATATTCCTATTCCTTTCATACAAATGGGATCATAATATGTGTCTTTTGTGATTGGCTTCTTTCATTTAACATAATGTTCTTAAGTTTCATTCATGTTGTAGCATCAGTAATTCATCTCCCCTTTTAAGATTGGCAATGTTTCTTATTCTAAATATTTAATAAAAGTTATCAATTGAACCCTCTGGTGTTAGAGTTTTCTTTATGGAAATAATTTGATGACAGATTTAAATACATTAATAGATATGGGGATTTTCAAATTTTCTATTTTCTATTGGTTTTATAATTATTTTTCGGGAAATAGTTCCATTGCAATTAATGTTTGAATGTGTCAGCATATTCTTTGTATTATCTTATCATTTTTATAACTCTATGATCTTTAGTGATGTCTCATTTCATTCCTGAGATTGATAATTTATATATTTTACTTGTTTTTGATAAGTATTTCTAGAACTTAATTTTATTTCGTACTAAAAACTGGCTCTAATTTTTTCTATTGTTTATCTGTTCTTTAGTTCATCCATTTCTTCTATTACCTTTATTATCTCCTCTATTAATTTGGTTTTAATTTGCTCATTTTTTTTAACCTCAGTGTGGAAGTTTAGATAACTAATTTTAAACTTTTATTTTTGAATAGGACCAGATTTTAAAGTTTTCATTTAAATAAATGCTATTTTATGAGCATCACCAACATTTTATGTTATGTATTATTATTTAGTTTAAAATAATTCCAAACCAATGGTTATCTAGACATTCACTATTTAATTTTCAACTATGTGAGGCTTTTCTATTTATTTTGTTTTTGTTTATTTCTAATTTAATTTCATTTTAGGCAGAGAGCATACTCTGTATGTTGTCAAAGTTTGAAATTTATTTCTGAAATACATCAGTCTATTTCATATGACAAAGAATATTTTCTTACAAACTCAGAGTACTTTTATCAAAACCCATGAATCATATTAATCAGAATAATATTATCTAATCTTGACCATATTTATATTTACCAGTTATTATTTCAGTGTAGTTTATAACAAAAACAATTTAAAAACAAACAAAAACTGGATGCAGGTTCCATCTAGAATCATATTTGTACTTGCTTGCCATGGTACTTTATCTTTTTCAAGTCTGGAATACCCTCTCAGTGTTTCTTTTTCTTCATTAACCTAGGCTTTTTCTTTTTTTATTGATACATAATAATTATACAAATTTCTGGTATACATGTGATATTCTGATATATGTATACAACATGTAAAAATCCTATCAGTGTAGTTGGGGTACCCATCACCTCAGCATTTATCATTTCTTTCTTGGGAACATTTTGAATTTTCTACTCTAGTTATGTTGAAATATACAATAAATTGTTTAGTCACCTAACTGTGCTATCAAATATTAGAACTTATTTCTTCTATCTAACTATACTTTGCATGCATTAACCAATGTCTTTTCATCCTCCTTTCCCATACCCTTCCCAGCTCCTGATAACCACCATTCTATGCCCTACTTCAATAAAATCAACAATGTGTGAGTTTCTTTTTCTCCACATCCTCACCAGTATCAGTTATTTTTTGTCTTGTTATAACAGCCATTCCAACTGGGGTGAGGTGATATCTCACTGCGGTTTTGATTTGCATTTCCCTGATGATTAATGATGTTGTGCATTTTTAAAATAATTGTTATCCATTTGTATGTCTTTTTTTAAGAAATGTCTACTCATTATTTCCTCATCGTTTAATCAGATGATGATGATGATTCTGCTGTTGAGTTCCTTATATATTCTGGTTATTAATCCCTTGTAGGATGCATAATTAACAAATATTGTCTCCCATTCTATGAGTTGTCTCTTCACTCTGTTAGTTGTTTGATTTCTAGCAGTATATATTTTTCTATATAAATTTTGTTGTCTACGTTTTGGAGATTGTACCCCAAAAATCCTTGCCAGGAAAAATGGCCAAAAGCAGTTCCCGAATATTTTCTTCTAATAGTTTCATAATTTCAGGTCTTATATTTAACACATTTGATTTTAATATATATATATTTTTACATGGTGACAGAAAGGAGACTAGTCAGTCTTATTCTTTTGCATATGGATATCTAGTTTTAACAGCACTATTTCTTGAAGAGACTTTTCTTTCCCAAATGTATGTTCCTGGCACCTTTGTTGAAAATGAGTTGGCTATAATGCATAGATTTATTTCAGGGTTTTCTATTCTGTTCCATTGGTCTGTTGGAATCATGCTATTTGTGTTATTATAACTTTGTAGTATATTTTGAAGACAGTGTGGTGCCTCCAGTTTATTCTTTTTGCTCAGGATTTCTTTGGCTATCTAGAATCTTTGTTGCTTCATATACATTTTAAGATTTTTTCTACTTCTGGGAAGACTGTCATCGATATTTTCCTAAAGATTGCATTGAATCTGTAAATCACTTTGGGTAGTGATATGGTTTTACTCTGTGTCCCCACCCAAATCTCATCTCTAACTGTAATCCCCACGTGTCGAGAGAGGGACCTGGTGGCAGGTGATTAGATCATGGGGGCAGTTTCCCCCACGCTGTTCTTGTGATAGTGAGTGAGTTCTCAAGATATCTGATGGTTTTATAAGGGGCTCTTCACCCTTGTCTCACTCTGTCTCTACCCTGCCACCTTATGAAGAAAATGCCTGCTTTCCCTTCCATCATGATTTCTCAAGTTTCTTGAGGCCTGCCTAGCCATGCAGAAATGTGAGTCAATTAAATCTCTTTTATTTATAACCAGTCTCGGGCAGTCTTATAGCAGTGTGAAAATGGACTAATACAAGTCTTAGCAACAACAATCTGACTTCTTTTTCAATTTGGATGCCCTTTTTTTTTTCTTTTGCATAATTACTCTGGGGAGAACTCCCAGCACTATGTTGAATAAAAGTGGTGAAAGTGGGCAGCCTTGTCTTGTTCCTGATCTTAGAGAAAAGGTGTTCAATTTTTCTTTATTAGGCATGATGTTAGTTGTGAGTTTGTCATATATGGCCTTTATTGGTTTGAGGTATATTGTTTCTATACTCAGTTTGTTGATAGTCTTTATCTTGAAGGAATGTTGAATTTTATTGAATGTTTCTCAGCATCTATTGAAATGATTATATAGCTTTTGTCCTTGTTTCTGTTAATGCAATGTATCATATTTATTGATTTATATATATGGAACTATCTTTATATTCCTGGGATAAATCCCAATTGTTCATGAGAATGATCTCTTTCATGTGTTGTTGAATTTGTTTTGCTAGCATTTTGTTAAGGATTGTTGGATCTATGCTCTTCAGGAATATTTGACTAGTTTTGTTTGTCTAGTTTTAGCAGCTGGGTAATGGCTGAACTCAGAGTGAGTTTGGAAGTATTTCTTCTTCAACATTTTTGAGTAGTTTAAGTAGAAGTGGTATTATTTCCCCCTTTTTTTTTTTTGGTAAAATTTAGCAGTAAAGCTATCAGATCTTGGACTTTCCTTTGATAAGTAACTATATTACTCCCTTGATCTCATTACTTATTATTGGTTTGTGCATGGTTTTCTGTTTTTACGTAGTTCAATCTTGGTAGGTTATATGTAGTTTGGAATTTATCCATCTTCTTTTAGGTTGTCCAATGTATTGGCATATAATTTTTCATAATAGCATCTAATCCCCTTTTGTATTTCTGTAGCATTAGTTGTCTCCTTTTTTTTGCTGATTCTATTTAGGTTATCTCACTTTTTTTCATAGTCTACTTAAATGTTATTTTTGTTACCTTCTTAAAAATTGGACTTCATTTCATTGATCTTTTTATCATTACTTTGGACTCAATTTTATTTATTTCTGCTCTGATCTTTCTTTTTTCCTTCTACTAATTTTGGAGTTATTTTCTTGCTTTTCTAGGTGCTTGAGATGTATCATTAGGTTGTTTATTTGTAGTCTTTCTACTTGTTTGATGTAGGCATTTATTGCAATGAACTTTCCGTTTTTTACTGTTTTTATGGTATCCTACAGGTCTTGATATGTTGTATTTCTATTTTCCCTTCTACAGATTTTTAAGTTTTCTTCTTAATTTCTTCACTGATCCATTGGTCATTCAGAAATATGTTTAATTTCCATGTATTTGTACTTTTTCTAAAGTTCCTCTCATTATTGATTTCTATTTTTATTCAATTCTGGCCATAAAAAAATTGGTACAGTTTCAATTTTGTTGAATTTTCTCACTTGTTATGTGGACTAACATATGATCTATGCCAAATGATGTTTCTTGTGCTGATGAGAACATATATTCTGCAGCTGTTGGATGACATGTTTTATAAATTTCAGTTAGGTTCATTTGGTATAGCAGTCTCGCTTTCTCTTTAGATCTATTAATATCTACTTTATATATTTTGATGCTCTGATGTTGACTGTATACATATTTACTTTTTTCTTTTTCTTTTTTTTTTTTTTTTTGAAGACAGGGTCTTACTCTGTTGTGCAGGCTGGAGTGCAGCGGTGTGATCACAGCTTAATGTGGCCCTGACCTGCTGGGCTCAAGCAATCCTCCCACCTCAGCCTCCCAAGTAGCTGTGACTACAGGCACATGATACCACATGCAGCTAATTTTTAAACTTACTTTCAGAGATGGGGTCTCACTATGTGGTCCAGGCTGGTCTTGAACTTCTGGGCTCAAGTGAGCCGCCTGTCCTGGCCTCCTAAAGTTCTGGGATTACACGTGTAAGCCACCATGCCAGCTCTGCCAGCTCACATATATATTTACATTTGTTATATCCTCTTGCTGAATTTACCTCTTTTTCAGTGTGACCTTCTCCATCTGTCTTACAGTTTGTTACTTGATGTCTGTTTTTCTGGTATAAATATAGCTACTCCTACTTTTTTGGCATGGAATACATTTTTCTATTCCTTTCCTTCACTTTTAAATGACTTTATAGGTAAAGTGAATTTTCTGTAGGTAGCACATAGTTGGCTGTATTTTAAATCCATTCAATCATTCTATGTTTTTTAATTTGAGAATTTATTCCATTTATATTCACTATTATCATTTTTACATAAAAACTTCCTACTGCCATCTTGTTATTTACTTTTTGGTTGTTTTGTAAGTAAGTCCTCTGTTCTTTTTTTTACTGTCTTCCTTTGTGGATAATAGATTTTTTTTTTTTGGTAGTATGTTTTGGTTCCTTGCTTTTTATTTTTAGTGTATCAGTTATAAGTTTTGATTTATGTTTACCATGAGGCTTACAAAAAAAATCTTGTATTTATAAGAATTTATTTTGAAAAAATAACTTTGATCCTGAAGGAATTAAAAAAACTGAAAATTTTTACACTTATCACCTCACATATTTTGACTTTTATTATCTGAATTTCCATTGTTGCCCATCTCTTAAGAAATTGTTGGAATTATTAATTTTTATGTAATTATCTTCATACTAGAGATGTAAATTGTTACTCGCCTCACTGCAGTAGTATTCAGAAATTGTTTGTGCACTTAGTTTTACTAGTGAGCTTCATACCTTCTGATATTTAATTGCACATTAGCATGTTTTCTCAGATTAAATAACTACCTTTAGCATTTCTTTTAATACAATTCTAGTGCTAATGAGTTTTTTCAGCTTTTGTTTGTCTAGGAAAGTCTTTATCTCTTCTTGTTGAAAGGACAGGTTTACTGAGGGACAATATTCTCGACTGCCAGCTTTCTTTTTCTTCAGGCCTTTGAATATGACATCCCATTCCTTCCTGGCCTGTTTGGATTCCAGTGAGAAGTCTGTTACCAGATGAATTCGTACCCCTTTATGTCATTTGCTTGTTTTCTCTCTCTGCTCTTAGGATTCTCTTTGTCCTTGACCAGTGAGAATTTTATTACTGTATACCTTGGAGTAGTCTTATCTGTGTAGGATCTGTTTGGTGATCTTTGACTTTTCTGTACTTAGATATTTATATATTTCTCTGGGTTTGAAAGGTTTTGTTATTTTTTTAAATCAGATCTATGTTTGGTTCTCCCTCAACCCTCCTAGATGGGCAATGACTCTTAGATTGGCCTATTTGAGGTTATTTTCTAGATTGGTAGGCATTCCTCATTCCTTTTTAATATTCTTATTTCCCTCTGACTGTTTAATTTCTTTTTTTTTTTTTTTTTTGAGACAAAGTCTCACTCTGTCACCTAGACTGCAGTGCAGTGGCGTGAACATGGCTCACTACAGCTTTGATCTCCTGGGCTGAAGTGATCCTTCTGCCCTAGCCTCCCAAGGAGCTGGGACTACAGGCATGCACCATCATGCCCTGCCCAGCCAATTTTTTAAACTTTTTGTAGAAATGGGGCCTCACCATCTTGCCCAGGCTGGTCTCAAACCACTAGGCTCAAGTGATCCTTCTGCCTTGAAGTGCCACGATTACAGGTGCCAGCCGCTAGGCCTGGCCTAACTGTGCATTTTTAAATAGCCTATCATTGAGATCACTAATTCTTTTACCTTTATTAGTTTTTCTGATGAGACCCACAGATGCATATTACAGTTCATCTAATATATTTCTCAGCTCCTGAATTTCTATTTGATTTTAAAAAATTATTTCAATCTCTTTGTTAAATTTACCTTATAATTTCTGAATTGCTTTTTAATGTTACTTTAAAGTTCTCTGAGTTTCCACAAGACTGCTATTTTGAATTCTTGATCTGAGAGTTCATTGGGGTCAGTCACTGACTTCTTGCTTTATCCAGTTGGGGAGGTCATGGTTCCTTGTTTGTTGTTTGTTAAGGATATATTTTTGTGTCTTCACGTTGAAGGATTACTTATTCCAGTCTTTACTGTCTCTCCAACATATGTGTGTTTAAAGGTTCTATGGATTCCTTTAACACTATATCACTGCTTTCTTTTTGACGTTAGATGACACCTTAAAGCCAGAGTTGCCATGGCTCTTGCAAAAAGTCCCAACTAGGGGAGTTAGAAAGGGTTTCTCCAGCTGTGTGGGGAGGCTGTCTAGGAGTTCATCCACAGAGGGCCTGTGAAGACTGCTTTCTATTGCGTAGTGCAGCTGAACAACCTCTCTAATTTGTATTCTTTTTTGTCTGAGTTGGAGAGCAGCCTGTGAGTTTTGCACTGGTGCTGCTATTCCCCATCTCTACTGTTTATATTCAGCTGTCCACAGGGGTCCCTCTCCACACAGGCAGTTACAATGCTCCCCTGAGGGAGAGGGCTGAGGCAGAAACAGCTGTTCTGTGTAGAAACCCAAGCTGATGGGGAAGCTGGCTGCATGCCTCATTGCCACTTTTTCCAGTATAGAAATCATTAGTCCAGGAGACTTTTCCACACAGTGCCTTACAGTACGGAAGGCAGGTGTACAGATAAAGAAGTCCATTTCTTCTAATTTCTGCTCAGTGTTTTACTTATTTGTGGCATTAGGATTTCTCATAAACCTCAGTTTTGAGTTCCAGGATATTGGTGGTGATAAGCTTGGCATTAGATACTTTTTTTTTTCATTTTATCTGTGGGAAAGTGAAGCCAGATTGTTGAAATCACTCTGTTTCTGAGGAGTACAGCTCAGTTATTTTGTAAAATATCACTAAATTGTATTATTTTTTATATTTCCTAAGACTAAATTCAAATTATTGATTTTGGGTAAGAATACTATTAATGTCTCTTTGTTAGTATATTTTATCAGCAAGAATATGATAGTGATGGTAGCCGCAGCCCATCTGGAGTGGCTGCAGCCATGACACTGGCTGCTGCAGGGGAGGCTTGGCCAGGGCTGTGCACTTCACAGAGCCAAGAGGTGCAGGAAGAGGCAGAAGCACCTCTCCTTTCCAAGTTGGAGGAGCTGGAGCCCCATCCTCCTGTGTACAGCTGTAGCCACCCAGCCACGAATGCAGACCCGGGCATCTCTGTACTCTTTGGGGCCCAGAAAACCCCCTGTCCCTGTAGGCTCAGAAGTACCTACTCCCACCGCCTGGCCTCTCTCTACTCCTCGTGCTCACTCTGATTTCAGAGCAAAGTTGTGGCTAAGCCTGGACACTGTCACGACATAGCCAAATGTGCCCATGCTCAGGGCAGCACTGACATGCTAGACTGCTGCCGCCTCAGCTCCCCCTCCAGACTTTGGGCACCAACGAGCAAGGAAGGGAGGCCAAGTGGGGGCTAAGGTCAGTTCACCACAGGCCTGCAGGTGCCCCTTGGCATGAACAGCCTGGGCATCATGAGCACTATGGACAGCAGGTTAATGGCATCAGGAGGCAGACAGACTCCTAGGCAGGAGTGGGTCCCCAGTAAACCCCACCTTTAGCCCAGGGATGGCCTGAGGCCTGGGAACTGGGCTGCCAGTTCCATGGACCGAAATGAGAACTTAGGTTGCTTTTTCCTGGCCTGCCCATGGCTGTCCATGAACGAATAAGCATGTACTTCCTCCCCTCTGAAGCCCATAAAAACCCCGGACTCAGCCAGACTTGAGCAGATGACTGGATGACCTGCTTGTGAAGAGGAACTAACTACTGTGGGTCTCCTCTCTGCTGAAAGCTAAGCAGAGGATGGATGACCTGTCCATGGAGAGGAGCTAGCCACTGTGGGTCTCCTCTCTGCTGAGAGCTAAGCAGACAAACAAACTGCCTATGAAGAGGAGCTTCTCACTGTAGGTAGGTCTCCTCTCTGCTGAGAGCTGAGAAAACAATGGAACAACCTGCCTGTGGAGAGAAGCTACCCACTGTAAGCCTCCTTTCTGTTGAGAACTGAACATTCATTGGGATGACCTGCTTGGGGGAGAGGAGCTACCCACTGCAGGTCCCCTCTGAGCTGTTCTGTCACTCAACGAAACACCTCTTTGCCTTGTTCACCCTCCACTTGTCCATATACCTCATTCTTCCTGGATGCAGGACAAGAACTTGGGACCTGCCAAATGGTGGGGCTGAAAGAGGTGTAACACAAACAGGGCTGAAACGTGCCCCTTGCTCACCACGTTACAGGTGACAAGGATAGAAGAGAGATGGAGATAAGAGCTGCAGCCCTTTGGGAAGCCCAGACCCAGGAGTTCTCCAAACCAGGCTGCAACACCCTCTTTGGGGCTTTGCAGTTCCTGGCATCTCCAAGCTTCTGGGTGCCACCACATTTCGCAGTGCTGTGGAGGGGGTTTGCAGTACTCCTGGTCCAGCTGCAGCCTCACAGGGAGCTGGCATCCATGCTGGTCCCTGGAGCTGCTCACCCTGCTGCATCTAGTGTGCCTGGCTGTGCACAGTGGCCAGGTACCATACTCATTTGCTCACACACCCCTCACCACTCCACACCTGGCTCACCCTTGGTAGGCTTGGGATCCAGGCCAGTAGCACAAGCCAAGTGCAACCTGCCACGCTGAGTGGGTAGAACAAGCCCAGTGGGCCCAAGAAAGAGTTGAGCAAAGGTGCCACCAGCCACAGAGGTTTCTGGCTGGAAAAGCTACACCCCAAGGATCCTGTGACAAAAGCTTTACCTTATTACTAGATAGTTTATTTTGAAATCTCCCACATCCAGTAACGCTTATATGTCTTATCGTCCCTAAATCTTCAGTTTCTTTACACCTCACCACTAGTTCTGTAAGGTCCAATTATATCTTGTCTGATCTACTCGAATAAACTTCTAATTGAGTCTACGACAACCATTCTTTTCTTCACTTTCAGACTTATCAGACTAAGGCATAGCATATATGAACTTTCTTTTTAGGGCCTAAACTTTCAAGAAGTACATAATTAAATTAACTTTTAAAGCCTTGTGTAATCTGATCTCAATATACCATACTAGGCTTATTTTTTTTTAACTCCAATGAGCACATAGTTATTAAAGACTAAGTTATTTGCTTCTGTATAAAATTTCTTAATAATTGTAATACTTTCCTTCTCCATGTATCACAAAACTCCTTTTTTACTCATTACAAAAACTTCTCATGAGTTCTTCATTTTATATATTTAATCACATCTGAATGAACTTGTCACCAATTTTACTTATTGAAATCTTAGCCACTTGTCAAGGTCTATTTCAATTACCATCTCTCTGATGAAGTCCTTTTAAAAATATTTCTAGTTTTTTTTTCTTGAACTGTCATACTGCCTGAATCTCTTTATAAATACTACATAATACTATTACACAATCGACCATGAATTTTTATCCTGCTTGGGGCGGCGGGGGTGGTATGTATAGACTAGTGTTTAAGAGAATTTGGCCTAAGGTCAAATTGCCTGTGCCCAATTCCTGGACTACAACTTCTAATTATGTAATTTCCCCAGCTCTTTTACCTCTCTGTGCCTCATAGAGGTTACCTAACTCATAAGCTTAATTCTATTATAAAGATTAGGTATAAAAACTCTTGTAAAGAAGTTATCACTGTGCCTGGGACAGATAAAGTGCTCAATAAAAATGAACTATCATTTTTATGTGGGTTTTGCCTTCTTAACATCATCCTTACATGCTCTCCCCTCACTATTATTTTCTCTCTCCTCTGCTTTCCCTCTCTGACTTTCTTATTTGATAACATATTCTCAGCACAGTTTCTGTAACTCATGCTGCCCAACTTAAACTCTAATTTTTATTCCTGTTGGAGTGGACTTTTTCAGACCTAATCCTATATCTAAAGTACCTGTTCCTGCTTAAAATCTTTCAGAGAATCCACATGGCTCATAGCATAGAGGTAAATTTCCTTACCATGACTTAAAATATCTTTTAAGTTTTGATTCTCCTTTTTGCAATTGTACTATTTTTCAGATTCATAAACTTCCTGTGATGTTTCAGAAAACTTGACATGCTAATGGAGCAACTTTTGTCTGCAATACTATTTATTCTATATTCTTCCTTTTTACTAAATCCAGTGAAAGCATTCTGCCCTCATTCAAGATTTTAGCTGAAGGATCATATTTCTGATTATTTCCTTTCAATCACACAAAGCCAGTCACTTAGGTCATATATTTACATGCCATGCAACATACTGATTGCTAACAGAGAAGATATAACTTTATTGTTTATTTGTCTATCTATCATTATTAGCAAGTCATCAACTTTATATCTCTGATATTTAGTGCACTGAGTATGGTGGTTTTAATAGAATGCTCAGTAAATATTTTTGAGCAGATAAACAGGTAAATGTTGTTAATAATGTAACAATTATTGTGTTGATCAGGACAGACATAAGGCATTAGATTTTCCTTTGGAAGAGGACATGCTTGATGATGTCCTCACTTAGAGACTTATACTGTTGGAGTCTCTATATTTAGAATACCACTAGATATAGTCAAGGAGGAAGCATAATAAAATATATATGGGAGTTTATAAGCTATCACTGGAGGTGATAGGCTCACCACTGCTCACTTGTAACCAGAATGGTGCAATTCCACCATGTCCCAGAAGTAAGAGAACTAAAATATTATGGATCAGAACTATTTATTACAAGATCAACACCTATGATAGTAAACTCTGAGCTCTTTAAGGGCACAAAATATATTTCATAATCTATACGTATTTAAAAAAACACACATACACATGGTTGCCCATAGCAACTATTCAGTAAATACTTTATAATGAGGGGCTATGTAATCTCATATTGATTTTAAACATCAATTCAAATAATGATTATAGTCTTAGGCAAAATATATATATAGGTAAATAAAAGTAAGTAGTTCTAGAATGACTTCATTTAGCTAAAAGGTTTGTAGATTTCATTCACTTTGATTTTTCATTTTCTTAAATCTCAACTGTTTCAACTTAGGAAACAATTGTGTTATCTGGAGTTTTTACTCCAGTGGATAATATAAATCATCCTTGGGACTTTGTCAAAACTCTTCCTCTGTTATTATTCTATTTTTAAATCTTTTAACATTCTATGGTAAAACACTGTCATCTACAAACAATCATATGTAGGGTGGTTTAATAACACTTTTTTGTGGGAAATTAAGTGTCATATTTTCACACCATGCTAATTATCTTCAGTGTAAACGTTTTAATTCTTTTCTAGTTCCACTGAACACAGCTCTCTTTCTGACCTAACATAACCTTTGTGCACTCAATTATATTTCTGTAGAAAAATTACTGTTTTTGAATTTCCACTCTGGAATCCTTCCAGTGGTTCTCAGGCTTATATTCTTGACCTTACTGAACAAGCATGAGTGGGTGAAATCTTACTGAAAGTGGCATGAAAGATATTCCAAAGTATTAAGCCTAAACATTGATGATATATAATTACAGTGTTGTGATGAGAAGCTTCTTGATTTTTGAAACCCTAAAACTTTTGAAGTTATTTGGAGGATATGAAAAGTACAATTTAAAAAAGAAAATTAAAACTTTTTTTCTAAATGTCATATATGTGTATACTATATTAAAATGTAGTTGTACAAAGAGGAAAGTATCTAAACACATTGTCCCCCTGACATAAAATATTCTATGAGAGCCCTATTCCTCTGATATTTTGTTTCGGTGACTTAAATTCAAAATGACACACTTGTTACATTATTTCAAACCTTGCTACCTAAGTAATCCAGATATACATGAAACTAGCAGTAATATGAAGAATGATATGATTTATGTCTCTTTTCAAGTTTTCATTTAATTATTTAAAAGTAAGTCATAGGTAGTTCAGTCCAGAAAAAAATTGGACAATAAAATATTCTTATTTCCTTTCCAACAGGATCCTCATCCTCATTCAACAACATATGAGGACTTTCTTCCCCCTCTAGTATCTTTTACTCTTCTCAGCTGATTCAATATAGAAGAATAACAGCATAACACAAATAATACGCTAGAATAGATGCACAAAATTTACCACTCAGTACTAAGAGAACAGACATTTTTAAGCAAACTTTGAACACAGGAAACACTGATTATAATGGTTCAAAAATTACTCTCACTGAATTCTAATTTATATCACAAATAATATATTTTCAAAAACAACTTATTTAAAATAAAAAATCACAATAAAATTTTTTTATAAACCCCATGTATCTGGAAACTACATGTTAATGAGAAACTCTTAGTTAAAAATCAAAATATCATAGAGGCTATAAAATGATTAGGATTGAATGTTAAAGACACTTTTACAGGCCAAAATCTATGAGATACAGTGGAACTAATATTCTACATTCTACATTAAATGTTTCATAAAATTGCTCCTTTGTATATATTTATCAGAACATGAATAATTAAAAATAGAAATAAAAAACTAATAATACTCTTTTCAGTACAACCGGATAAGTGTAAAAACATGAATATAAAGAATAAATTCCACATAAATAAAATGGCAATATTAAAAAAATAAATAAAGAGAAATAATAAAACTAGCAGCTGGATCTTTTACAAACAATATAATAATAATATAATAAAGCCTTATCAAAATTTATTGAGTTAAGCAAATAAAAATAAAAACGACAAAAAGAACAATCCAGAGATAACAGATTAAAAGAATAAAACAATTATTAAAAATGACATACTAATAAATTTTGTAATATTTAGTCACATGAATAAATTTCTGGAAGGTTTTTAATTTGTATAATTGTTTAAGAAAAGATAGAAACTTTTTTTAAAAAGCAGAAATTGAACTAACCAAGGAACATGTCTCTACCTTAAAGAAAATATACAGATAATGTTTACAGGTGTTTCTTCCAAATATTCAAGAAAAGGAATCTTCATATTATAGAAGGTATTCCAGAGTATATAAAAGAGGTGGAAAGCTGACCAATTCATTTTATGAAATGAAAAAATTAGCTAATCAGATTCCTGAAAAAGGATGCCAAATTTCTAAATATGAAATATTTATAAAATTAACTGCATAGTTCATTAATAGAAATACAAGATGATCGAAGATCAGAGAATCTAACAATAGAAATTATATTAATGAGTTAATAAATAACATCTTATGATTTTCTAATATTTTCAGGAAAAGCATGCTACCATATTAGTAACCTATTGATAATACAACTTTCAGGAACTTGAAATAGGAAACTTCATTAAATTGAAAAAACAAATTAATAGAGCAAACAATCTAATATTTGTAATGTGGAGAACTTTTAAACATATTTTCATTAACATTCAAGGACATGACAAGAAGGACCACTTAAATATGTGGTTCTATTTTACAATTATGAGTGGAAAAAAGCTAATATAGCAAACATGACAGTCCTATTCAAAATATAAATTTATCTAATATCTGTAGAAATCCCAGAGGTTTTTATATCAACTCAGTAAAGCCAATTATGAAAGCATAAAAGTCAACAGAGAGCTAAGCCAATTTTGAAAAGGGACAAAGAGGAAGGAAGGAAACATTCTACTAAGTATTTATTCATTTCAAAGCAACTGAAATTTTGATAGACATACAGTATATGTTGAATAACAGAAAAGTAAGAGAATGGAACAGACAGAACATTTAGAAATAGAACAATGGATACACAGAAATTTGATACATAATAAAGAAAACACTGATAATTCACGTGGAAATCACTTATTTATTAGTTCCAGTGCTGCAGAAAAATTGTACTGCATCCTTATGCTACATGTGGAAAAAATAAGGCTAGTTTCCTACTTTATGCTATCCATAATTGTACCCCTTATAAAAATTGATTAAAACCAGGACATTTTATAAATAAATTGAAGACAGCAAATTATTAAAACCAAGAATGTGTGGGAGAAAATCTACTACAAAGAAGGTAGGATAATTTCTATTTCACTAAGTAAAATTGTCTTTAAACACACACACACAGAAACACAAACCATAAAGCAGAATGTTGACAAATGTTACTACATCAATAGTAAAGATTCTAGTTCAATCCAAGGACACGGTAGACAACGTTAACAGACAAACTATAAAAAGGTATCTGCAAGTCTAAATCAACAAAAGGTTAATATCTATCAAATTTAATTATATGAAAATTACATCTCAATTAGATGGCATTCAACATTAGAAAAAGTATAACACAAAGTATTGGTTAAGGTGTGCAGAGGAAAAAAACATGAAGTTTTGCTAGTAGACATGTAAATCTATTGGTAAAGCCACTTCGGAAATTACTGAACTTCAGAATTCATATACAGAATGATTCAATGAACTCTCTTGAGAAATAAATTCTAAAAAATTACCAAAAACATAAAGATAAGCACAGACAAAAAGACATTCATCACGACATGTATGTGACAGCAAAGGGTTTGATGCAACTTAGTTTTCCATAACTATAAAATGTATAAATAAGTAAATCTAGTAGATGTGTAAATCTCACAGGACCCAAAAAACAACAATACAATGAAATTAAACCAAGGTATTAGGCAACAAATAGCACGATGAATAGAATAGTACCTCACATCACAATACTAATGTTGAATGTAATGGCCTAAATGCTCCACTTAAAAGATACAGAATGGTGGAATGGATCAGAATTCACCAACCATCTGCTTTCTTCAAGAGACTCACTTCACACATAAGGACTCACTTAAACTTAAGGTGAAGGGGTGGAAAAAGATATTCTATGCAAATGGTAATCAAAAGCAAGCAGGAGTAGCCATTCTTACATAGGACAAAAAAAAAACCTTTAAAGCAACAACAGTTAAAAAAGACAAACAGAAACATTAAATAATGATAAAAGCACTAGTCTAGTAGGAAAATATCATAACCCTAAATATATATGCACCTAACACTGGAGCTCCCAAATTTATAAAACAATCACTACTAGACCTAAGAAATGAGATAGAGAGCAACACAAATGATAGTGGGGGACTTCAATATTCCACTGACAGCACTAGACAGGTCATCAAGACAGAAAGTCAACAAAGAAAAAATGGAGTTAAACTATACCCTAGAAAAAATGGACTTAACAGATATTTACAGAACAGTCTATCCAACAACAGCAGAATATACATTCTATGCATCAGCAGATGGAACATTCTCCAAGATAGACCATATGGTAGACCACAAAAGAAGTTTCAACAAATTGAAATTATATCAAGTACTCTTTTAGAGCACAATGGAGTAAAATTGGAAATTAACTTTAAAACGAACCCTCAAATCCATCCAAATACATAAAAATTAAATAACCTGCTCCTGAGTGATTGTTGGGTCAACACTGAAATCAAGATGGAAATTTAAAAAAATTTTTAACTGGATGATAATAGTGATACAGCCTATCAAAACCTTTGGGATACAGCAACAACAGTGCTAAGAGGAAAGATCATAGGATTAAATGCCTACATCAAAAAGTCTTAAAGAGCACAAACACACAATCTAAGGTCACACCTCAAGGAACTAGAGAAACAAGAATAAACCAAACCCGAACCCGGCAGAAGAAAAGAAATGTCCAAGATAAGAAAAGAACTAAATGAAACAGAAACAAACAAACAAAAATACTACAAATGCCAATGATTGCTTGGCACAGAATGAGCAGATAAAAAAAATACCTCAGCACAGAATAAGCAGATAAAGAAATCACTGCTGGGGAGAAAAAGAGTTGATTCATGTGTCCATCACTTCGAAATCTCCAGGGATGTCCAAAGAATCAGCATTTGTCCCACTAGTCCTGAACTTTGGCAGCCTATGATGTGGCTGTGTTAGACCTGTCAAAGGTCTAACTATTAGCCTACCAATGTGGCTTGGTAGACATCATAGCTTCTTCCCTTCCCCAACTCAGCACAGAGTGAGAAGATAAAAACCACAGTGATGTGTTTCTCTTTGGGAAGGGAAATTGTTGATAGAGGCTCCTGGGATCTCTGGCTAAGCTGATAGATGGAGTCTTCTCCTGTATATGGCCAGTCTGCAGAGATTGGGAAAGAAGCCTGCTTTGTATAATGCGCAGACTCCAACACAGAGAGACAAGAGAAAGGACCAACTAGGCAAAGATGTTCCAAACAAAGGAACAGGATAAAATTTCAGAAACCATTCTAAAGAAATTGAGTTGTATGATTTACCTGACAGATAATTGAAAATCAACTGAGGTCCAAAAAACAATGCATGAAAAAAATGAGAATTTTCATAGAGATAGAAAATATAAAAAGTTCCAAGCTAAAATCATGGGGCCAAAGAATTCAATATCTGAACCGAAACATTTACTAGAGGCATTTAAGAGAAGATTGGATTAGGCAGAAAAAAAGGTCAGCAAACTCAAAGACAGCTCACTGCAAACAACTCATTTAAGAGAGTAAAAATTGGCCGGGCGCGTTGGCTCACGCCTGTAATCCCAGCACTTTGGGAGGCTGAGGCGGGCGGATCATGAGGTCAGGAGATCGAGACCATCCCGGCTAAAACAGTGAAACCCCGTCTCTACTAAAAAAAAAAAAATACAAAAATTAGCCGGGCGTAGTGGCGGGCGCCTGTAGTCCCAGCTACTCGGGAGGCTGAGGCAGGAGAATGGCGTGAACCCGGGAGGCGGAGCTTGCAGTGAGCCGAGATCCCGCCACTGCACTCCAGCCTGGGCGACAGAGCGAGACTCCGTCTCAAAAAAAAAAAAAAGAGAGAGTAAAAATTAAAAATAAAAGAATTAAAAAGGGTGGAGAAATTTTAAGAGAATGATGAAACCAATCAAGCAGACAAGTAAAGGCATCATGGAATCTCAAAATAAGAGAGAAAGAAAAATCAAGAAAGATTATTCAAATAAATAACAGCTGAAAACTTCCTAAATCTGGAAAGGCAACGGATATCCAAATCCCAAATCCCGAAGTACATCAAATGAGATGAATCCAAATGAAGACACACTAAAATCAAACTGGCAAAAGATAAAATATAGAATTTTTAAAGCAATAAGAGAAAACCAATCTGTCACATAAACCTCCATAAAACTCTCAGTAGAATGTTTAGCAGAAAACTCACTGGCCAGAGTACATGAGATGTTTTATTCAAAGTGATGAAAGGAAAAAAAAAACCAAAACGTTAACCTAGAGTATAAAATTGTCTTTCAAAAATTAAGAAAATATAAAGAACTTCTCCATCAAACAAAACCTGAGGGAGTTCCTAACTGCTAGACCTGCTTACAAGAAATGCTAAAGGAAGTTCTTCAACTTGAAAAGAAAAAATGCTAAATAGCACCACAATAACATAAGAAAATATAAAATTCATTGTTAAAGGTAAATATGTAGATTAATACAGAATACTATATACTATAGTGGCAAGTAAATCACTTTTAATTCTAGTATAAAAGTTTAAAAAGTATTACAAGCATAATAAGTAAAAATGTATTAAAACATACAAAATAAGAATAGGTGTAAACTGAGATGACAATAGCATTAAATATGTGTGGGGGAAGAGAGAAATAAAATGTAGAGCTATGTATTCAATTGAACTTAAGCTCTTATCAGCTTAAAATAGACTCTTATAACTATGAGATATTTTATATAACCCACAGGTAGCCACAACAAAGTCCTATACAAGTTACACAAAAGAAAAAAGAAAGGGATGAAAGCATATTAATAAAAAACAATCAACAGCACACAAAGGGAGACAGCAATAAAGGAAACAAGGTACTAAAAGAGACTCATTAAACGGTTAAAATGGTAATGGTAGCTATATCACTATCAATAATTACTTGAAATTTCAATAGACTAAATACTGCAATCAAAGGACATATGTAGCTGAATAAATCTTTTTAGAAAGACCCAAATACACTGTTCACAAAAAAACTCACTGTAGATTTAAAACCACACATAGGGTAAAAGTGAAGACATGGGAAAATATATTCTATCCAAATGGTAACAAAAAGAGAGCAGGGATAAATTTTCACCATACACAAAAAATTAGCTCAAAATAGATTAGAAACTTAAGTGTAAAATCTGACACTGTAAACATATTAAAGAAAACATAGGGGAAATTTTTTATGATCTTAGTCTTGGCAATGATTTCATGGATTTAACACCAAAAGCCCAAGTACCTGAAGCAAAAACAGACACAGAGGACTGCATCAAACTAAAAAGCTTCTTCACAGCAAAGAAAAAAAAATCAAGAGGGAGAAAGGAAAACTTATTGAATGAGAGAACATATTTGCGACCATATATCAGATATGGGATTACTTTTCAAAATATATAAGAAACTTCTATAACTCAATATCAAAACCACTAAAAAAATCCCACAGAATTTAGGTCATTAAAAATGGACAAAGTACTGGAATGGATATTTTTCCAAAGACGACATACATGGCTGGGCATGGATTCAGGCCTGTAATTGCAGCTCTTTGAGAGGCCAAGGCGGGAGGATTGCTTGAGGCCAGGAGTTCAAGACCAGCATGGGCAACATAGCAAGACCTCGTCTCTACAAAAAATAAAAAAAGCCAGGCATGACATGGCTGTAGTCCCAGCTCAGCTGGAGGCTGAGCTGGGAGAGTCACTTGAGCCCAGGAGGTTGAGGTTGCAGTGAGCTATGATTGCACTACTGCACTTCATCCTGGGTGACAGAATAAGACTCTGTCTCACACACACACAAAAGAATAAATACAAATGACCAACAGGTATATGAAAAATCGCTCAATATCACTAATCTTTAGAGAAATAAAACTAAAAGCTACAATCAGATATCTCCTCATATCTGTTAGGATGGTTAGTATCAAAAAACCTAAAAGATAACAAATATTGGCAAGGATATGGAGAAATTAGATTCCTTTTACACTGTTAATGCAGATGTCAAATTGTGAAGCCCCTATGGAAAACAGCATGGAGGTTTCTTAAAAAATTAAAAATAGAACTACCCTATAACCAGCAATCTTACTTATAGATGCTTATCCAAAAAAAAACCTGGAACTAGAATCTCAAAGAGATATTAGCACTTCAATGTTCACTGAAGCACTATTCACAATAGCTGAGATGTGGAAACAATTTAGCTGTTCATTGATATCTGGATGGATAAAGAAAATGTGATATATACAACTAATGAAATACTATTCTGCCTTTAAAAGGAAAGAAATTCTGCAATGTGTGACAGCATGGATGAACCTGGAACACATTACGTTAAGTGAGATAAAACACATGCAAAGAAAGACGAGTACTGCATGACAACATTTACATGAAGAATTTAAGTTAGTCAAATTCATAGAATCAAAATGTGGAATCATGATTGTCAAAGAAAATGAGTATAAAGTTTCAGTCAAACAAGATAAATATAAATTAAAATAAAATATAAATATAAATAAATATAAAAATATCTAGCAATCTGTTGTATAACATTATCCCTACAGTCAACAATAATGTAAACTTAAGATTTGTCAAGACTGCAGTTCTCATGTTGTGCTAGGATCACTATAAAATAACAAAATAAAAGAAAACAAATTTTTTAAAGTATTGAATTTAATCTGTTAGAAAATTCATAAGATACATCACATAATAGTATTTATTGTTAAGTATTCTATGCTAAAATTGATCAAACATATAATTACAACCTACTTGGTGTACAAAGATGTGTGTATATGCAGGGCATATTTGAACAAATTAGAGTCATATGGCGATGGCAGTCTGGGTAATTTCTATAAATCATTTCATTAAAAAAACTAGATTACGTGGACAATATTTTTAAAATCTGATCAAAGATATTGGAGGGACATCAAGACAGAAAGGATCATGGTGTCTAGATATGAGCAGCTGAAAAATAGCTTTAAAGAAAATGAAATAACCAAATGACTAGAGGTTACAAAAAAAACAGAAATTTACAATCTTAAAGTTACAGGCACATAGCGCTGCAAAATTTAAACTGTATCTTTGAAAAGGGCGTGTTGCCAGTTTTACTATGCTCCTGATCAAGCTACAGTCTGCTCAGAGGAATGCCAGAGAGCTACCCTCAGAAGATTCAGGGCCAAAGACGGATGGTGTGATGTGTGCTCGTCCTCAGGCCAGGTATATCTGCAAGACCTCCAGACTGACAAACTTGTTTCAGCAGCAATGGCCACTCCTCAGCATAACCTTGCCACCATAGACAGAAGGCTCTACAAATTTCTGTAGCTCCATGCATTGAGAGATGTTCTAAACATTTTGAAGATGAACAAAATTTGCCAGTGGCTTCAAAGAGATACAATAGAATCTCACCAAATCCATTTATCTAATGGAATCTAACTAAATGCTATCTATATTGAAATTTTAGCAAGTAAAATGCCTATACTGGAATCTAATGAAAGTTCTCTTCTTCCATCTAGTGACAAATTTGGAGAATGCACACTTACCTTCCCTAATATGACAGTTAAATAAGACTGTAAGGTATACGCTGACAGACATGATGCTTTAAAAGTTCAACCGAAAAGTACGCAGCCAGAGCAAAAATGTTGCAATGTTTTTTGTCTCTCAAATACACAATCAAAATTGCTCCTCAGCAAAATGTTTGCCCGACATTGGATATAGCAGAAATTATTTACAACAATCATTGAAAATGCCTGCAGGTACCACAAAAAGCCAGTTTAGAGAAACAAGCCTGAAAGCTCAATGTAATATATACAGTTTTTTGTAACCTCACCATTAAGATTTTTTCTCTCCTTTAGATTTTTATTTATTTTTTTTAAAAAATAGGGTCTTGCTGAGGGTGAAGTTTGTGCAGAGCACTCTAGTTGATTATCCTCAGAAAGGCTAAATTTAGAGCTTTCTTGGCCATAAATTGGTCGTGCCCAATCCTTCCATATCTTCTGAATCTTCACGAAAACTTACAATCTTAGCTCAGAATTTAAGATTTTTTCAAATGTTTATTCTAATTTAGTGGTATCCTTTGATCTAATATTTTCCTATTACTGAATAATAAAATATATGGACTAACATAAATATGGAAATATTTTCATCAGTCTTTTGTAATTTTAAAAAGATAAAAGCTAAATTATAATCAATTCCTGTGAAAAAATCAATTATACTTTCTATATATGAATCAAATCACACAATTATATTTTTAATAACATGAAAAATAGCTGTACTCTTATGAGTGATTTTAGATTTTTAATGCTTCTGTTTTCAAGTTTTACAGTGATTTGTATATATTAACTTTATAATTAAAAAAAGGAACTTATATTTCATTCATTGCAATCAACTCATTTATTAGGAGGTGGAAATTAAAGTTCAAAGTCACACTGGTAATTATTGACACAGCCAGTACTTGAATCCAGGTCTAATGAATCCTGTGCTTTGCTGGTTCTCCAAAGCCATGCTGTGAAATGTAAAGTTAAAATGCCTGACGTTTTTATCCTCTTCTAATCCATTTCCAGTTGGTCTTTTCCTTGAAATAGTAACAAATATTGCTCAATTCTGCATCTATTGACTATTTTTCAGAGGATGGAATAAAAACCGCAACTCACAACTTTTCAAGAGGCCACCAGTCATTAGACACTGGCATCCGTTAGAACTGCTGCAAGCTTAAATCAAACAGTCACCTGGAAGGAACAGGTCTCTGGAGACTCCCCTCTAGCTCTGAGATCTGTATTTCACAATTATTTGAGGCACTGTTAAAAGCAGAGAATAAAATAGTTGAAAATTCACTTGCTGTTTTCAATGTATTATTTATGCAAGAGAATGTGTAATTTGGGAAAAAAGTAAATCTGAAAACTGAATAATTTAATATACATGTCTTTGTTAAAGTTTTAAAATATTATTTTCCATGGTAACCATTATTAAATAGAGAACTATGGAATGGACTGACAGGGCTGGATGGATGTAGAGTGGAAACATGTACAAATGCCCTTTCTTTACGATCCTTCTCCTATGAAAAGTAATATCTGTTTTGATGTTTCAGTGATGTTTCTATAAAATCAAATTTATAGAATTTGATTGTATAAATTCTAAATGTATGTAAGTGTTGGTACTTCATGTTTTCAGGAGTAACTCTATTTTGCTACAACAACCTTCTGCTGAGCTAAGATTATAGATCCAGGAGCTAAGTGGCTACTCAAGATACATTCTAGTATCCATCTCTTGTTTAAGACAAGTAATATAACATTTTGCAGAAGTGATAACTCAAGTCCATAAAGATGAAGTGAAACACTTAATGCATATAGAAATAATAAGTAGAGAGGAAAATCAAAACCCATGTATTCTGCCTTCTCCAACATTATTGTTTATAGCAATATATTCTGTTTAATATATTATTATTTTCATTCTAGAAAAACAGAGAAAAAGTGTATTATTTGAAAAAAAAAAAAAAGGGTGAAGATAGGCTGGATAGAGATAACCCTTACATAAAAACCTTTAAAAAATTCAGACCCTCCTCCTTTCTTTCCTCAACAAGCAGTTACAGCATGCTTCCATGGGTAGTCTAAATATTTGACAGCTATGCAAAGGCAGAGCAAATTGGGATGTGTGTGGAAAAAGCCAGACGCTCACAAGTATAAGCTTAGAATTTCTAAATTGTTCATAAGGATTCCAATTATATTTGGGCTTGTGGAAGAAATCTGATTGAGATGGGATGAGAGAGCAATAAAAACTGCATTTGCATAAATATGGGGATCAAAAAAGTGACTATTGCAGTCATGGTCCTAATGCCAGAAAGCTGGAGAAAGTAGATGAGAAAAGAAACCACTCACGGTAATAACAAAGTTTGATTGATTAACGAAATGATTAATGATTAGGAAATTAAATTTGTCTAGTAAATGTTACAATTATAAGCTCTACCTAAAAAAAAGAGAGAGCTGTATTTTTCAAAGATGATATCACATTAATTAAAACACTTATGGCTTTGTATCATGTGTAGTTACTATAATTTATGAATATAGGCTTTTATTAATTAATTCCTCCAATATTCCTTGGCCATGTACTACATACCTCTGAATTAGTCAGGGTTTTCCAGAGAAACAGAACCAATAGGAGATATATAGATATAGATACATACACATATGAATATTGATTATGTGAATTGGCTGATGAAGTTATGGAGACTAAGTCCCACAATTTCCCATCTGCAAGCTAGAAAACCAATAAGCTGGTAGTATAAATAAGCCCAAGTCCAAAGTCCTGAGAATCGGAGGACCAGTTGTGTAAGTATCCATCTGAGTCCAAAAGCTTGGGAATCAGAAGCACTGAAGTCAAGAAGATGATGTCAGCACAAGCAGAAAGAACAACTCGCTCCTCCTTTATTTTTGTTTTTGCTCTATTCTAGCCCTGAACAAATTGCATGATGCAGACCCATATTGGGAAGCCCATCCGCTCTGCTCAGTTCACCAATTAATACTAACCTGATACAGAAACCCTCACAGACAAACTCAGGAATAATGTCTTACTAGCTAAATTGGGCCATTATTGTGTTGCTGTACTGAAATACCTGAGGCTGGATAATTTATAAAGAAAAGAAGTTTCATTGGCTCACAGTTCTGCAGACAGTACAAGAAGTGTAGTACTGGCATCGACTTCAGGAGAGGCCCCAGGAAGCTTACAATCATGGTAGAAGGCAAAGGAGGAGCATGTATCTCACATGGCAAGAGCGAGAGCACTTTTAGACAACCAGACCTTGTGTGAACTCACTCTTCACCAAGGACGTGGCGCTAAGCCATTCATGAGTGATGTGCCCCCATGATAGAAGCATGTCCCATCAGGCCCCATCTCCAACACTGGGAATTGCATTTTAATATGAGATTTGGAGCGGACAAATATCCAAACTATATTACTTCATCCCTGAACCCCCAAGTTTCATATCCTTCTCACACTGCAAAATATGATCATCTCTTCCTAACAGTCTCCCAACGTCTTAACTCATTCCAGCATTAAGTCGAAAGTCTTTTAAGTCTCATCTGAGACTTCTCTCCTTCCACCTTTGAGCCCATAAAATAAAAATCAATTATTTACTTCTAAGATACAATAGGAGCACCGGAATTAGGTAAACATGCCCACTCCAAGAGAGAGGAAGTGTCCAAAAGGAAGGAGCTACAGGCCCCACACAAGACTGAAACCCCACAGGGCAGTCATTAAATCTTAGAGTTCTAAAATAATCTCCTTTGACTCTATGTCTAGCATCCCTGTATGAGGGGTGGGCGCCCAAGGCCTTGCACAGCCCCACCACGGTGGACTTTCCTAGGCAGAGTTTAGGTAGCTGTTCTTATGGGTTGGAATTGAGAGTCTGCCACTTTTCTAAGCTCAGGGATGAAGCCTCCCAGTCGATCTACCTACCATTTTGGATTCTAAAACACAATGACCCTGTTCCCATAGCTCCTTTAGGCAGTTGTTGAGTGAGAACTCTGTGGGAAGGCTTCAACCCCACAATTCCCCCTTGACTCTGCCTAGTAGAGGCTCACTGCAGGGGCTCTGCCCAGGCACCCAGGCTATCTCATACAATGTATTAGTTCATTCTCACGCTGCTAAAAAGAACTACCCAAGCCTGGGTAATTTATGAAGAAAAGAGGTTTAAGTGACTCACAGTTCTGCAGGCTTAACAGGAGGCATGACTGGGAGGCCTTGGGTAACTTAAAATCATGCCAGAAGTCAAAAAGGAAGTAAGCACGTTCTTCACATGGCAGCAGGAGACAGAGAGCAAGGGTGGAAGTGCCACACACTTTTAAACCATCAGATCTCATGAGAACTCACTATCATGTGGACGGCAAGGGGGGAAATTCACCCCCATGAGCCAGTAATCTCCCACCAGCTTGCTCCCCCAACATTGGAAAGTACAGTTCGACATGAGATTTGGGTGAGGACACAGAGCCAAACCATATCATACATCCCCTGAAATCTAGGTGGAAGCTGTCATGCCTCCTCTACTCTGAGAACCTGCAGCTTTAATACTACATCAAAGCCACCAAGGCTTATGGCTTACATCATTCAGAGTTGCAACCTGAGCTGTACCTTGAGTCTTTTGAGCCAAGGCTGGAGCTGGAGCAGCCTAGATGAAGGGAGCAACATCCCAAGGCTGAACAGAGCAATGGAACCCTGGCCGGGTCCACAAAAATCATTCTGTCCTCCACAGGCTCTGGGCCTGAGGAGAAAGGAGAGCTGAGGAGAAAGGAGAGCCAGTCCGAGTCCCAAACTGAAGAATTTTGTGTCCTATGTTCAAGGGCAGGAAGCATCCAGCATGGGAGAAGGTGTAGGCTGGGAGGCTAGGCCAGTCCAGCCTTTTCACATTTTTTTTTTTTTTTTTTTTGCCTGCTTTATATTTGCTGGCAGCTGATTAGATGGTGCTCACCCAGATTAAGGGTGGGTCTGCCTTACCCAGCCAACTGCCTCAAATGGTAATATCCTTTGGCAATACTCTCACAGACACACCCAGGATCAATACTTTACATCCTTCAATCCAATCAACTTGACCTTCAATATTAACCTTCATAGATGATGAGAAAGGGTAAGTTCCTTAAAACTGAGTAGAAATTATGCTTTTTAAATAAAATAGACTTTATTTAGATTTACCATAAACCTCCTGCCACCACACTTGCATAGCCTACACCACTATCAACATTATCCTCCAAAGTGGTACATGTGTTAAAATTGATGAAACTGCATTGACATATTATTATTACCCAAAGGCCATGGTTTATATTCAGGTTCGCTCTTGGCTTTGAACAAATGTATTCCACGGCTTTGGACAAATTTCAAATCACATGTGTCTCCTATAACTCTATCATACAGAAGTTTCACCAGCCTAAGCATCTTCTGTGCTCTTCCTATTTATCCTTCCCTGTCCCCTAACTCCTGGCAGTCACCGATCTTTTTATTGTCCCCAGAGTTTTGCCTTTTGCAGAATGTGATATAGTTGGAAGCATACAGTATATATAGTTTTAAGACTGGCTTCTTTTATTAATAGTATACATTTAAGATTCTTCCATGCCTTTTCATGGCTTGACACTTTATCTCTTTTTATTGCTGAACAACAGTCCATTGTCTGAATGTATAACAATCTATTTATCCACTAACCTACTGAGTCCTTCATATTGATTGCTGAGTTCAGCCATCTTGATTGCTTCCAAGTTGTGGCAATTAAGAATAAGGGTGCTGTAAATACCTGTGTGCAGTTTTTGTGTAGACAAAAGTTTTCAACTCATTTTGGTAAATACCAAAAACTATAATTGCTTAATCATATGGTCAGAGTGTTGTCAAGGTTCTGGATTTGTCCATTTTAATTATTGTGTGGTGGTATCTCATTATTTTAATTTATATTTCTATGATGACATGATGTAAAATATCTTTTCATATGTTTTTCATATGTTTACTTTCCATCTGTTTATCTTCTTTAGTGAGGTGTCCGTTAAGGTCTTGGCCTACTTTTTAATCAAGTTGTTCATTTTCTTACTGATGAGTCTCGAGTTATTTGTCTATTTTGGATAAAGGTTCTTAAATGAGTTGTTACTTTGCAATTGTTTTCTCAATCTGGGGCTTGTTCTTTCATTCTCCTGAGATAAATTTTTCATTTTAATGAATTTTTTGTCTACTTCTATAATCCATTTTGACTTATTTTTTTGTGTGAAGAATACAGTCTTTATCCAGATTCCATGTTTTTTTTTTTTTGCATAAAGATTTCCAGCACTATTTGTAGGAAAGACTATCTTTTCTTCATTGTACTATCATTGCTTAGTTGTGAAAAATCAGTTGACTATATTCATATGGATCTATTTTGGGACTATTTTGTTTCATTAATCTATTTGTATATTCTTTTGTCCTGTGCTAACTTTATTATAAGTTTTAAATTTGGATAGTATCAGTCTTCCAACTTTTTTTTCCTTCAAAATTATGTTACATGTTTTGAGTCTTTTTTATCTCTGTATAACCTAAAATCAAGTTGTTAATATCAACAAAAATAAAAATAAATAAAACAAACCTTAGTATTGTGATTGTGATTGTGTTAAATCTATAGGGCAAGAACTGCATCTTGATAGTATTGAATCTTTCTATTCATGAGCATGGAAAACTCTCCATTTATATTATTATTCTTTAATTTTTTATTAGCATTTTTTAGTTTTCTTCATAAAAATCTTGTACTTTTAAAAATTTTTTACTTAAGTATGATAATTTTTGGTGCTAATGTAAATTATTTTGCTTTCTGATTTCAAATTCCACTTTTTTATTGCTGCTATATGGAAAAGCAAGTGACTTTTGTATATTTACCCTAGGGTTATTTCTTTCAAGATGTCCTTTGTTGACTCTTTGGATTTTCTATATTAAAATTATGTCATCTGTGGACAAAGACAGTTTTGTTTCTTTTTTCCATGTCAGTATCTTATTTTATTTTATTCCATTAGCTAGGATTTCCAGTATGATGTTGAAAAGAAGTGATGAGAGGAGACATCCTTACCTTGTTTCTAATGATAGTTTCTTGCCATTAAGCATAATGTTAGCTATAGTATTTTTGTAAATATTTTTTACCACATTGAAGATGTTACCTTCTATTCCTAGTTTACTGTAAGGGATGGGTAAGGTAATTCATAGAATAGCTAATTATATTAGTGCAAATATAGAATTATCATAGAAGAGAATAAAATTCCTTAGCAAGTATGCAATCAGAAAGATGTTTAGAAAATATGCAGCCTCCCACAGATCACTTCACTTAAGGAGAAGGAACCCAACCCAAATCCAAAGCACAAGTTGTCACTATCAGCCATAGAAACTTGCCCCAAGAAGCTTTGATTTATCCATCACGTTAGTAATTATAGTTCTGTTCTGCTCAATGCAGCCCTTGCCCTGCAGAGATTTTTGCATGAGAAAAATATACCACTTGTAAATATTCCACAAAATTATCATTTTCAACAATCATTTTATTATGACCATTATTCACCAAAGACTGCTAACTAGTCTTTCCATCCCTACATTATATCTTTCATCACACACCCACTCCCTTGTCTTTAAAAATATGGAGTTATTTATCTCAGCAAACACTGAAAATTCAAACAAATATTTAAAAACCACAAATTTAATTCCAAGTAGACAAATACTTGCCTTATGGAAATCCCAAAAGAAGAGAGAGATAAAGGGGAGGAAAGAATATTAAAAATGTGATAGATGAAAACTTTCAAAATCTGAGGAAGAAAATGGACATCCATGTCTAGAAGCTTACCAAGCCCCAAATAAGGAAAATCCAAAAAAAATCCATACCTAGAAAACTTATAATCAAATTGGCAAAAGTCAAAGACAAAAGGAGAATTTTGAAAGCAGTAAGTGAAAAGTGATTTTCACATATAAGGGAAATCTGTAAGACTATCAGTAGATGTCTCAGTAGAAACAATGCATGCCAGAAGGAAGTGCGATGATATTTTCAAAACTCTAATGAGATATAAATAAATAACTGTCAAACAAAAATACTATATCTGGCAAAATTTTCTTCAAAAAAAAGTAAGTAATAAAAACTCCTTGTGAAACAAATTTTGAGGGTGTTCAACAGCAGTAGTCCTGGCTTATGAGAAAAGCTAAAGAGTTCTTCAAGTTGAAAGAAACTGATGCTAAACAGTAATATGAAATGACTGGTATAGGTAAATACCAAAGCACATACACAATAGTGTAATACTGTAATGTTGATGAGAAAATCATTTTTAATTCTAGTATAAAAGATACAAAGGCATGACTACATAAACATAACATAAAGATAAATAAATGTAACTATAAAATATGTTAATGAAAGCACAGTACAAAAGCTGCAAATAGTAACATCAATAACAAAGTGTTAGGGGAGAGGAAGTAGAAATGTAGAATTTTGGTATGTGAAAAAAATTTTTATCAGCTTATAACGGACTCTTATAAGTTGGTTTATGTAAGTCCGATAGTAACCACAAAAACTATCCAAAGAAAAAGACTGACAACATAAAAAACGATAAAGGGATCACTGCATAGTAATAAAAAATAATAAAATACAGAGAAAGACAGTAAAAGAGAAATAGGTACAAAAAATTAGACAACACCCAGAAAATGATAAACAAAATTGCAGTAGTTAAGTCCTTTTCTATCAATAATTACTTTAAATGTAAATGGATTAAACTCTTTCAAAGGAGCTAAGAGTGGCTTAACATAAACAAAACAAGATTCAAATATATGCTGTCTACAAGTGTATTAGACTGTTCTCACACTGCTATAAAGAACTACCTGAGACTGGGTAATTTATGAAGAAAAGAGGTTTAATTGACTCACAGTTCTGCAGACCATACAGAAATCATGGCTGGGAGGCCTCAGGAAACTTACAATCACGACAGAAGGCAAAGGGGAAGCAAGCACTTCTTACCATGGCACAGCAGGAGAGAGAGAGAAAGAGTGAAGTGCTTTATACATTTAAACAACCAGATCTCATGAGAACTCACCCACTATCATGAGAACAGCAAGGGGGAAATCTGTCCCCATGGTCCAATCACCTCCCATCAGGTCCCTCCCCCAAAGTTGGGAATTCTAATTCAACATGAGATTTGGGTGGGGACACAGAGCTATACTATATCAACAAGAGACTCACTTTAAATTTAATGACATATAGAAGTGAAGGGATGAAAAAAGATATTCCGTTCAAATTGTAACAGACAGCAGCGTTAGCTGTACTTAAAAATATATATATTTTAAGTGAAAATCTGTCACAAAAGACAAATGACATTATATAATAATAAAAAGGTCAATTTTCCAGTTAGATATAATAATTATAAATATATTTTTACCCAATATCAGAGGACCTGAATATACAAAGCCAACATTAAAAAACTGAATAGAGAATTACATAGCAATAAAATAGTATGAAACTTAAATACCCTATTTTCAATGATGAATAAACCATCTATCTGGACAGGAAAATCAATAAAGAAACAGCAGACCAAACAACATTATAGACCTAATGGACCTAAAAAAAAAAAAAAAAAAACACTACATCCAACAGCAACAGAATATACATTCTTCTCAAGTAAGCACAGAATATTCTCCAGGATAGATCACAGGTCTTAACTAAACATGTCTTTAAAAATTCCAGAAGATGTAATTGATACCAAATGCCTTTTCTGACCACAATACAATAAAACTAAAAATCAAAGCAATAGAAAACCTGGGAAATTCACAAACATGTGAAAATAAAACAAAACATAATTGAGCAACAAGTGGGTCACAAAATTTAAAAAAAGAAAATTAGGAACTATCTTGAGACAAATGAAAATAAAAAGACAACATACTCAAACTTATGAGATATCGAAAACACAGTACTAAGTGGGAAGTTTATAGTGATACAGGCCTATGTTTAAAAAAGAGGAAAGATTTTAAACAACCTAACTTTATCCTTCAAAGAACCGCTTAAAAACAAATCCAAAGTTTCCTGAATACAGCACACTGATGGGTCTTGACTCTTTATCCAATTTGCCAGTCTGTGTCTTTTAATTGGAGCACTTAGTCCATTTACATTTAAAGTTAATATTGTTATGTGTGAATTTGATCCTGTCATTATGATGTTAGCTGGTTATTTTGCTCGTTAGTTGATGCAGTTTCTTCCTAGCCTGGATGGTCTTTACAATTTGGCATGATTTTGCAGTGGCTGGTACCGGTTGTTCCTTTCCATGTTTAGTGCTTCCTTCAGGAGCTCTTTTAGGGCAGGCCTGGTGGTGACAAAATCTCTCAGCATTTGCTTGTCTGTAGAGTATTTTATTTCTCCTTCACTTATGAAGCTTAGTTTGGCTGGATATGAAATTCTGGGTTGAAAATTCTTTTCTTTAAGAAAGTTGAATATTGGCCCCCACTCTCTTCTGGCTTGTAGAGTTTCTGCCGAGAGATCCGCTGTTAGTCTGATGGGCTTCCCTTTGTGGGTAACCCGACCTTTCTCTCTGGCTGCCCTTAACATTTTTTCCTTCATTTCAACTTTGGTGAAAGGATTCCGTATTTAATAAATGGTGCTGGGAAAACTGGCTAGCCATATGTAGAAAGCTGAAACTGGATCCCTTCCTAACACCTTACACAAAAATTAATTCAAGATGGATTAAAGACTTAAACGTTAGACCTAAAACCATAAAAACCCTAGAAGAAAACCTAGGCATTACCATTCAGGACATAGGCATGGGCAAAGACTTCATGTCTAAAACACCAAAAGCAATGGCAACAAAAGCCAAAATTGACAAATGGGATCTAATTAAACTAAAGAGCTTCTGCACAGCAAAAGAAACTACCGTCACAGTCAACAGGCAACCTACAAAATGGGAGAAAATTTTCGCAACCTACTCATCTGACAAAGGGCTAATATCCAGAATCTACAATGAACTCAAACAAATTTACAAGAAAAAAACAACCCCATCAAAAAGTGGGCAAAGGACATGAACAGACACTTCTCAAAAGAAGACATTTATGCAGCCAAAAAACACATGAAAAAATGCTCACCATCACTGGCCATCAGAGAAATGCAAAGCAAAACCACAATGAGATACCATCTCACACCAGTTAGAATGGCAATCATTAAAAACTCAGGAAACAACAGGTGCTGGAGAGGATGTGGAGAAATAGGAACACTTTCACACTGTTGGTAGGACTGTAAACTAGTTCAACCATTGTGGAAGTCAGTGTGGCGATTCCTCAAGGATCTAGAACTAGAAATACAATTTGACCCAGCCATCCCATTACTGGGTATATACCCAAAGGACTAGAAATCATGCTGCTATGAAGACACATGCACACGTATGTTTATTGCGGCACTATTCACAATAGCAAAGACTTGGAACCAACCCAAATGTCCAACAATGATAGACTGGATTAAGAAAATGTGGCACATATACACCATGGAATACTATGCAGCCATAAAAAATGATGAGTTCATGTCCTTCGTAGGGACATGGATGAAATTGGAAATCATCATTCTCAGTAAACTACCTGAAGGACAAAAAACCAAACACCGCATATTCTCACTCATAGGTGGGAATTGAACAATGAGAACACATGGACACAGGAAGGGGAACATCACACTCTGGGGACTGTTGTGGGGTGGGAGGAGCGGGGAGGGATAGCTTTAGGAGATATACCTAATGCTAAATGATGAGATAATGGGTGCAGCACACCAGCATGGCACATGTATACATATGTAACAAACCTGCACATTGTGCACATGTACCCTAAAACTTAAAGTATAAAAAAAAAATCCAAAGTTAGTAGAAGGAGAGGAATACTGAAAAATACAGAAAAAAATAAAATGGAAAATAGAAAAACAGTATCAGTGAAATTAGGGAGTTGGTTCTTGAAAGCATAAACAAAATAGACATTTTCCAACCATTACCAAGACTAAGAAAAAAAAGAGATGACTTAAATAAATCAAATATGAAAGAGGAGATATTATAATTTATGCCATAGCAATAAAAAATGAACCATTAGAAACTATATGAGTGCTAGAAGTCAAAAAATTAGATTACCTAGAAGATGTGGTAACTTCCTAGAAACATACAACCTTCCTAGACTGAATCATGAAGTGTAGAAAGTCTAAGAAGATCTATATTCAGTGGATATTTACTAAAAATATCCATGTTTATTGTAATAGAAATAATATAATTTTCAAACTTATGTAATGTAGAATCCAAGTGAATTCTCAATAGCCAAAACAATCTTGAGAATGAAGAACAAAGCTGGAGATATCACATTTCCTGATTTTAAAATATATTACAAAGCTACAGTAATCAAAGCAATATGGTCCTGGCATAAACACAGACATACAGACCAGTGGAACAGAATAGAGAGCCTAGAAATAAATCCACACATATATAGTAAACTGGTCTTCAACAAGGTTGCCAAGTATCCATTCTGAAGAAAGGATAGTCACTTCAACAAATGGAGCCAGGAAAACTGGATATCCACAAGCAAAAGAAGAAAATTACCCTTATCCTATAGCATACATAAAAGCAACTCAAAGTGGATTAAGGACTTAAACATAAGACCTGAAACTGTAAAGCTCTTTAAAGAAAACATCAGAGACATTATAAAAACATCAGAAAAAACCTTCATGACATTGGCCTCGGTAATAATTTTATGAATAAGACACTAAAAGCACAGGCAACATAAGCAAAAGTAGGGGGACTGCATCAAACTAAAAGGCTTCTTCACAGCAAATAAAACAATTAACAAAGTGAAAAGGCAACCTACAGAATGGGAGAAAATATTTGTATACTATATACCTGATAAAGAGTTAATTTCCAAACACATAAATAACTTGTATAACTCAATAGCAAAAAGATTAACAACCCAAGTTAAAAAACAGGCTAAAAATTTTAATACACTTTTCTTCAAAAAATATGCACAAATGGCCAAGCAGTATATGAAATGATGCTCAATCTCACCAGTAATTAGGGAAGTACAGGTCAAAAACACAATAAGCTATCACTTTGCAGCTGTTAGAATCCCTAGTACCAACAAATCAAAAGACAGGTGTCAAAAAAGATGTGGAGAAATTGAGACCCTTGTACACTACTAGTGGGAATGCAATAGAGTACATCTGTTACAGAAAACCATACGGAGGTTTCTCAAAATTAAAAATAGAACCACCATGTAACCCAGCAATTCCACTTCTGGGTATTTATAAAAAAAAAAAGAATTGCCCTCAGAGTCCCAAAAAGATATTTGCACTCCAATGCTAATTGAAGCACTATTTACAATAGCCAAGATATGGAAACCACCTAAATATCAATTGACACACAAATGAATAAAAAATTAAGTATACACATATAATATTATTCAGCCTTAATAAAAGAAAATCCTTCTATTCAGCCTTAAAAAAAGAAAATCCTTCTATATACAACAACATAGATAAAACATGAGCACATTACACTCAATAAAATAAGCTAGTCACAGGAGGACAAGGAATCCTGATTTACTTAGATGAGGTATCTAAGGTAGTCAAACTTATAGAAGGAGAAAGCAGATAGGTTGTTACTGGAGCAGAAGGAAGGGAAAATGAGCTGCTAACAAATAGGTATAAAGATTTAATTCAATTATGCAAAATGAATTTCTTGAAATCTGTTGTACAATAATTTGTCTATAATTAATAATATTGTATGAGACACTTAAAAATCTGTTAAAAGGGTACAGCTCATGTTAAGTGTTCTTACAACAAAAAGTAAAAAGTTAAAACAATTCATGCAATCAAATATCTTATCAGAAAGGTAAATATTAATGAATATTGTTTAAAATGTAGAATTATATTTATTTAGTCATAGTAGAGCACACATTACAAAAATAATCTAAAAAAATTTTAAATAATAAATACCAGAGTGTTACTAATTTTTGCAATTTGATTTTGTATCTTGCAACATTATTGAATTTATTTATCAGTTTTACCAGCTTTTTGGTAATGAGGATGTGGATCAAAGAGAACTCCTGTACAGCATTGCTGGAAATGTAAATTATTACAGCCATTATGGAAAAGGGTATGGAGTTTCCTCAAAATCTAAAATCTAAAAACAGAAATACTTTATGATCCAGAAATCCCAATGTTGGGTATATTTCCAAAAGAAAGGAAGTCAATATATAAAAGAGATATCTGCGCTACCCTATCTATTGCAGCACTATTCACAATAGCCAAGATACGGCTCCTTAGCCAAGGAGTGAACCTAAGTATTCGTTAACAAACTAATAAGAAAATAGGATACAGATACACAATGGAAAATAAGCCACAAAAGAATAAAATCCTGTCATTTCCAACAACATAAATGAAATGGAGGACACTCTGTTAAGTAAAATAAGGCAGGCATAGAGAGACAAATATTGCATTTTTTAACTCATATGTGGAAGATGAAAAAGTTAATCTCATAGATGTAGAGAGTAAAATGGGGGTTACCAGAGTTTGGAAAGGGTAGGAGGAAAGAGGGGAAGAAAAGAAGTTGCTTAATGGGTACAACAATGCAATTAGATAGCAAGAATACATTGTAGTGTTTAACAGCATGGTAGTGTAAGTATAGTTAACAGTAACTTATTGTATATGTCAAAGTGGCTAGTAGAGAAGATCTGATATCTTCCCAAGACAAATAATGTTTGAAGTGATGGATCCCAATTACCCTGATTCAGTCATTACACACTGTATGCAATCTATGAAAGCATCACATGCAGTCCATAAATATGTACACTTATTGTGTATGGAAAAAAAAACTAGATAAATACCAGAAAATTTATCTGGACAACCATATTATTTAGAGGTCTCTACAACAGTCTTCTCTGACAGGTGTATGGTGACAGTGAAAAATTACTTTATCATTTGATTCCTTGAAAAATAAAATACAAATTAACTTCTAGCTTACTCAGTGTATACAACAGAAGAAAATGTAAATACTACTTGCTTTATTATCCTAGAACACTCTAAAATATATTGAGTTTTGAGGTAAAAATTGAAAGGTGGATAGTTAGAATGTGTATGGTGATAAGGAAACTATTTGTCTGAGCTATGAATAGAATGACCACTAGTTCTGATTTACCCAAGAAGTTGTCTGCTTATACCTAAAGTCTTGGCATAATTATTAATGAAGAATATTTTTATCTCCCAAATTTCCCAATTTTGACCATAAATTGTATGGTTGCTATGATAGTAAATTATATGTGTTAACTTGGTTAGGCTATTGCATCTCTATCTGCATCTCTATATCTGAATGGTATATTGGTTTTGTAACTCTGGAGAAAGTTGACACGTTTACCACAGGTATAAATAGTTAGATAATAATAATAACCAGTAACTATAGCTATTACCACTAACTAATAATCCCAACCTGCCAAAGTTCTCATTTATAAAATGATGAAAATAACTCCCACTTCATAGTCTGTTTATTTTGAGTATTTGAGATCCATTTTTTGTGCCTGGTCAGAATAGTATTCCAAAAAAGAAAAAAAATGTTATTTTAGAAGAAACATTACTTCTAAAAATGGCTTTCTTCTTAATCTTTATAGATACTGATTTACTTTTTCTTAAATCAAAGATCAAACTTTAGTGTGTCCTCCTTACACGGGCTTCTTTGTTGGAGAGCCTGCATTTTTCTACTTTTGGAAATGAGGTGGTACCTTCTGCTTCAAGTTTTTTCACCTAAGTTCTAAGGAGAGGGGTTCCCATTAATGGATTGACTGTAATGTAGGAAAAAATGAGGATTACGGTATGCTGAACAATTCCCTGGACATGTCCCCAGGAGTTCATTTTCTTTGTTTCTCTTTATTTTAAAAACCTTAAGTGCTACATTCATCGTTAAAAAGCAAGTCTCAGAAAATTTCTGTCTCCAAAAGCTTCCAAAGGTGCATTTGACTGCCTAATGGAGTTTCATCCAAAAGTATCAATAAAACTCACAGCTAAAAACTCAAACATAAGCCAAAAAATAGTCTTTTATTTAAACCATAAGCACTTAAACCTATTTCTACCAAGTCTATTTTGTAGAAATTTAGCCAATGGGTGAATTTAATCTTAACTGGTCAATTTCATATAACGTATTCAATTTTTAAATAAGTAATCATTATCTGCTCCCTGAAAGCACTCTACTTAATAATATGGAGACAAAAAAAAAGTTCAAGTCACAGTTCTGGTTTCAAACTTTAAGTTCAAATCAGGTAAGGAAAGAATGGTGGAAATCACTGTGATGTAAAATTGAGAAAATGAATGCCATAGGAATTGCGAAGATAAAATGTAATGGAGTTCAGAGAAAGGAATGATTGTTTCTGCTGGAGTGTTACATTAAGGAGATGGCATTTAAACTGTACCTTAAATAATGGGTGAGTTTTAACATGAAATGATGAAGAAGAAAGAGATTAGAGATGGAGGGTGCTTGTAAATCAACTCTCAGAGTTGAGAAATGAAGAGGATTTGGGAGAACTACAAGAAGCTCAACATCTTTAGAACTTGGAGTGTGAGAAAAGGAGTAGCAAGGTGTAAGGATGGACTGACCTCTGTTTTGACCTAAATTGGCAGGCTAAGTTTTTAGGAGGTGATAGATATCCATTTCAGGTTTTGTTTTCCTTCTTTATTGTGGCAGATGTTATTAATGCAACATTTTGTATTAGCCCATTTGTGTTACCATAAATACCTGAGACTGGGTTATTTATGAAGAAAAGAGGTTTATTTTGGCTCATGGTTCTGTGGACTGTACCAGAAGCATAGTGCAGGCATCTGCTTTGGTGAGGGCCTCAAGAAACTTACAACTATGGTAGAAAGCAAAAAGAGACCCAATATGTCACAGCATGAGAGAGTAAGCAAGGGAGAGGAGGAGGTGCCAGACTCCTTTAAATAGGAGTCATTTGTTTAAAGATGAATAAACTGACAGAGTAAGAACTCTTTCATCAACAAGCATGAACTAACAGAGTAAGTACTAACAGATGAACTAACACGTGAACTAACAGAGTAAGAACTCACTCATCATCAAGGTGATGATCCTAAGCCATTCATAATAACCCCATGATTTAAACCTCCCACTAGGCCTTACCTCCAACAGTGGGGATCAGATTTCAACATGAAATTTGGAGGGGACAAATATCCAAACTATATCACTTTTTAAAAGATAAATACAGCAATAAGATAAATGTGGCAAAGTATGTTCAGAATGCCTTAGACATTTGAATTTGTTTTAAAAAGTATAAGGTAAAGAGAATCTGAAATAAGAAAATGTCAGTGGAATGGTGAGAAGGGCAGCAAGTTTTGCAATATCACAGAGATAGAATAAAAAGGATGTGAAAAGGGAGAGGAATTCAAAGATGATTTCAAACCTGAATGACTAGAATGATCTTATTTGAATGAGGGCAGTCAGAGCAATGAGCAGAGGTAAGTTTTTCGGAAAGCAGGAGGTATGCAGTCTTGTTACTGTTGAGGTTAAGGTGCTTATCACACAGGGAAGTCCGCCAGCGTGAAGGATGTCCTCCAGGCTATTGTACTAATTTTTCTATTTATATTTTCTTCTTATCTAGAGATGTTCAAACATCATTAAATAGCCACTTGCCTTGCTTTTTATTTTAAGAGAAGTACTTACAAGTAATCATTTTCTGTAAAGTTTGCTGTTTACTTTTTTTTTTTACTGTGGTGGCTACCATATTCTAGTATTTTTCCTTTTAGGCTTACTTCCTCTAGAAATATATTGGTGGATCTAGAGTTCTCAGTGAGGTCTTGGTGGGTACATGAGTTTTATTCCTATGAAAGAGGAAAAACTTAACTTAGAGACAGAATGTGATTCTTGTGGGGATATGGTAGCAAGTGAAAAAAAGAAGCCTAAGGAAAGACACTTTGATAATTATTGCATCTATGAAGTAGTAGAATAAAGACAAGGAAGAGAAGCAATAAGACAACACTTAAAAAGAGGGTAACAGATATGCAAATGTTTGGAAGTAGAGAGTTTCATGAAACATAACTCACTAATTAGCATATGGTTAGATGGAAAGGGAAGTCATTCTCTATCATGAATTAAATTGTCTCTTCAGGTGTTTTTAGATATATAAACATGGAACTATGTTTGCCTCCTTTTTTCAATTTTTGTATATTCTTTCAATTATAGAATCTAGAACTTCCTAAACAATGTTAAATATCAATGGAAATAGTAAAATACTTGCCTATTTTTCATTTTAATAGTTCGATACAGGTCATTATTTTCTACAAAGTTTTCTCTTGGCCTTAGACTTAGTTCGATATTTTATTAAAAATGGTTGCGATTTTTAAAACATTTTTGGTATCTGCATATATTAAATTGCATTATATCCCATTATATAATATCTGTTATATTATTTCATATTAATTATAATTCTATTTTGATGGATTTTGATATGTCTTTCCCATGTACACACTTCATGTCACACCATTAGTTCCCCATTCAAGAAATAGTATGGATGTTTTATCTTTACTGCTATTTTTTTAAGAGAATGAAAGAACCAAATATAGAAATCAATAAAGACAACAATTTCCTCCTGTATTTCAAAAGCGTAAGTTCTGAAAGACTCAGCCAGGGAACAAGAAATAGATTTCAAAACATAGATGAATAGACAGTATATCTCATTTTCTGGCTGAACAAAATTCTCCAGAATAGGGGAAGTAAAAGATTTGCAGGGAAATATTCAAAGTGTCCTTGGGGAAATGGTCTGCGCTTTGACTTATCCCTACCCACTGGACAATCAGTGCGTGTGTGGGATGGAAGGGGAGGCTGGAGAACTCTCAGAACAGTAGAAAGCCCATAAGGGTTTTAGCTGTACCATAGGAGAATGTATGCCCTATTTCTGGAAAAGTTTCTAAATATATATCTGGCTATCCATATTTTCTTTTTTAATAGACATCATATACAAAAGCAATAAATAAATAATGGTTGAGAAAAAATTTATGCATATGAGAAGGGAAACTCATATTATGAATGCAGAAAAACGTGTCTAGAAATTGATGAGGGAAAGAGAAACAATTCATTTTTGAAATGATATAAGACCTACATAGACAACCAACAGAAGATGAAGTGAAAATGGTCAATAAATACATGGGGAAAGTACTGCCTCACTAGAAGTGACAACAATGTGAATTAATCAACATAAAAATTTTTTTCACCTATAGAATCAATGCAAATAAAAAGAACTAAAAAAAATAATGCTTTGTAATTCTGGCAGAATTGGAAACTAGATACTCAAAGGGCCTTTCCACAAAAAACAAAAAGCCTGGACAAAAGTTAATTTTTAGTCATTGCTGTTTCACAGTAACTTCTGAAAATCTGTTTACCCTTTAATCAAAATATATTTGTATTTTATTATACATATTTGTAGTAAATAAAAGATGGAACAAAATAATCATCAAGCAGTAAAATACTATCAAAGTAATGAATACAGTTTAAAAATATAAACTAAAAATAAAAATTAATTTTTTGAAATTTAACAAAACTTAATAAAAAGTTTCATCATTAAATCAAACACCATGGAAGAAAAAATTATAAATCTCAAGAAAGATATAAAAAAATTTTCTCATAATTAATCACATAAAGACATGAAAAATAGAGGGAAAAGTGAGGCTATAAGATAAGAGGAATAGAATGAGGAAATGGTACAATACTGAAAGTCTGCTGTGATGGTTTTTAAAAGCTTGGAGAAAGCAAAGATCCATCAAGTAAAGTAACGATGCAGGAGTTACCATGGGAGACAGTGGAAGAAACTAATTAAAAATTCACAAAAAGTATATAGTAGAATAGATATGCCACCTATGGATGACTATTATTCACAAGAGGGCTTGTCTAATACTTTGTTTACCAAACAACAAGGAAGGTGCTTGTGAGAACGGCACATTAAGAAGTTCAGTGGTGCCTAGGTCAGAACTAAAATTAGGAGAAAGCATATTGAAATGGGCTCGGTGAATAACTAAAAGGATGATATTCAAGAAATAGGAGAGTCCAGGTGGCATTGTTTAATGACAAGAAGAAAGCTCTATACAATTATTATAAATCTATCAAGATTAGAATAGGTATCAGGGACATTTGACCCACATAGAACTCTAGAGATGGTTACTAGAACATGGGATCTCTATGGGCAAGATTACATCTGGAAAAAAACGGAATTTTTCAATCTATATAAGCAAAAGAAATGATGATTATATGATCACATGGTTGAGGAAAGCTAGCCTAATAAACAGTCATAATCTCTTGCTGTTTGGTTCCCTGACTGGTTAGGTAAGAGATATGATGATGGGAAAACTCAATTGGAAAACTTTGCAGATAGAGATGGCAAAAAAAAAGAAAATCTATCCTGGAAAAAACTGCAGTTTAGCAATATACTTTAAAACCCGAAAAATGTAGGGATAGTGATCCTAATCATATTATTAATGCACTAGTCTAGTTCTCACAAAAGCCAGACAGATCCTGGAGGATAACAGTGGTCTTCCACACATAGTAAACCCTATAGCAGCATATGCTTATACAAGAACTTTGCTGAAACATATGAACACTGCCTCTGTTATATGACAGGTGGCTACTGACCTAGGAAATGCTGTCCCATTGTTACCATAAATTTAAAAAGAAACAGTTTGCATTCACTTGCAATGGATAAAAGTATACATTGATAGTAATTTCCTAGGCCTTTGTTACCTTTTCAACCTCTGTAACAATGGGAACTAAAAGGATCTGGACCCTCTGGCCATGTAACACAATACTAAAGCCAGTTCAATAAAAGTATAACATCATGGTAATCAAATCACATTGGCAATAAATGAAAAAATATTGGAAGCTATATTAGTCTGTTCTCATGCTGCTAATAAAGACATACCAAGACTGGGTAATTTATAAAGGAAAGAGGTTTAATTGACTCAGTTTTACATGCCTGGGGAGACCTCACAATCACAGCAGAAAATGAAAGAGGAGATAAGTCTTGTTTTACATGGTGGCAGGCAAGAGAGCATGTATAGGAAACTCCCCTTTATAAAACCATTAGATCTCATGAGACTCATTCACTATCACGAGAACAGCACAGGAATGACCTGCCCCATGATTCAATTACTTCCCACCCGGTCCCTTCCATGACATGTGGAAATCATGGGAGCTACAATTCAAGATGAGATTTGGGTGGGGACACAGCCAAACCCTATCATTCTGCCCCTGGCACCTCTAAAATCTCATGTCCTCACATCTCAAAACTAATTATGCCTTCCCAACAATCCCTCAAAGTCTTCAGCATTAACTCAAAAGTCTAAGTCCAAAGTCTTACCTGAGACCACGCGAGTCCCTCCTGCCTATGAGTCTGTAAAATCAAAAAGCAAGTTAGTTACTTCCTAATAAAATTAGGGTACAGGCATTGGGTAAATACAGCCATTCCAAATGGGAGAAGTTGGCTAAAACAAAGGGGCCACAGGCCCCATGTCAGTCTGAAATCCCACAAGGCAGCAATTGAATCTTAAAGCTCTGAAATAATCTCCTTTGACTTCATGTCTCACATTCAGGTGACAGTGGTGCAAGAGGTGGGTTCCCATGGCCTTGGACAGTTTCAACCCTGTGGCTTTGCAGGGTACAGCACCCCCTCCTGGCTACTTTCACAGGCTGATGTTGAGTGTCTGCAGCTTTTCCAGGTGCACAGTGCAAGCTGTCAGTGGATCTACCATTGTGGGTCTGGAAGATGGTGACCCTCTTCTCATAGTTCCTCTAGGCAGTGCCCCAGTGAGGACTCTGTGTGGGGGCTCTTACCAACATTTCCCTTCCACACTGCCCTAGTAGAGGTTCTCCATGAGGGCTCTACCCCTGCAGCACATCTCTGCCTGGACATTCAGGCATTTCCATACATGCTCTGAAATCAAGGTGGAGGTTCCCAAACCTCAATTTTTGACTTCTGTGCACCTGCAGGTCCAACATCATGTGTAAGCCACCAAGGCTTTGGGCTTGCACCCTCCGAAGGGTGCCTGAGCTGTACATTTGCCCCTTTTAGCCATGGCTGGGATGCAGGCCACCAAGTCCTGAGACTGCCCAAAGCAGCAAGGCCCTGGGTTCGGCCCACAAAACCATTTTCTCCTCCTAGGCCTCTGGGTCTGTGATGGGAAGGGCCGCCATGAAGACTTCTGACACACCCTGGAGACATTTTCCCTATTGTCATGGGGATTAACATTTGGTTCCTCATTACTCATGCAAATTTCTATAGCCAACTTGAATTTCTTGTCAGAAAATGGGTTTTGTTTCTCTATCACATCATCAAGCTGTAAATTTTCCAAATGTTTATGCTCTGGCTCCCTTTTAAACATAAGTTCCAATTCCAAACCATATCTTTGTGAATACATAAAACTGAATGCTTGTAACAGCACCCAAATCACATCTTGAATGCTTTGCTGCTTAGAAATTTTTTCTGCCAGATACCCTAAATCATCTCTCTCAAGTTCAAAGTTCCATAGATCTCTAGGGCAGGGGCAAAATTCCACCAGTCTCTTTGCTAAAGCATAACAAGAGTCACCTTTCCTTCAGTTCTCAACAAGTTCCTTATCTCCATCTGAGGCCACCTCAGCCTGGACTTTATTGTCCATATTACTATCAGCTTTTTGGCCAAAGCCATTCAACAAGTCTCTAGGAAGTTCCAAACTTTCCCACATCTTCCTGTCTTCTGAGCCCTCCAAACTGTTCCAACCTCTGCTTGTTACTCAGTTCCAAAGAAGTCGCTTCCACATTTTTTGGGTATCTTTACAGCAGTGCCTCACTACCTGGTACCAATTTACTGTATTAGTCTGTTCTCACACTGCTGATAAAGATATGCCTGAGACTGGGTAATTTATAAAGGAAAGAGGTTTAATTGACTCACAGTTCCACATGGCTGGGGAGGCCTCACAATCATAGTGGAAAGTGAAGGAGGAGCAAAATCACATTTTACACGGTGGCAGGCAAGAGAGTGTGTGCAGAGGAACTCCCCTTTATAAAACCAGCAGATCTCATAAGACTTATTCACTATCATGAGAACAGCACAGGAGGGACCCACCACCATGATTCAGTTACCTCCCACTGGGTCCTTCCCACAGCATGTGGGAATTATGGGAGCTGCAATTCAAGATGAGATTTGGGTGGCGACACTGCCAAACCATATCAGAAACCTTGGTAAGACACAGGCATTTCAGAAGGTGAAAGACAAACCTTACAAAAATTCATTGCCCCACCATGTTAGTGACATATTTAGGAGTAGAGTTTTTTCAGACATGCTGGTATACCCTCTTCATGGGAATACATAAAATATTGAATCTCACAACCCTCACTATTGAGAAGGGAGCACAGTATCTTTGTCTTAGTTCATTTTCTGTGGTATAACAGGATATCACACTCTGGGTAATTTATAAAGAACAGAGCTTTGTTTGGTTCATGGTTCTAAAGGCTGGGAAGTCCAAGAGCATGGTACTGTCATCTGACAAGAGTCATCCCCATGGTCGAAGGTGGAGGAGTGTGTGCAAGAGTGCAAGACAAAGAGAGGGACCAGACATTTTATAACTTACTCTTGCAATAACAATATTAATCCATTCATGAGGGCTGTGCCCTCATGACCCAAGTATCTTTTATTTGGACCTACCTCTAAACACTGTTGCATTAGGGATTAAGTTTCCAACACATGAAATTTTCAGGGACATATTCAAATCATAGCAATCTCGCAGATTTCTTTACATACTTAAGGTAGAATATTAGTGGGAATGTTAATCTGATCCATATACAGAGTAATTCTTTTTTAAGCCTGTCAGATTTAAATGGGGACCAAAACAGTAAAAGATTTGGCTGCAGGTCTGGGCTGTGGTACAAACACTGTCGCCACCTGGGCCATATTGGTTTACAAACTTATGGTATCTGTTGTAAAAATAAACTAATAAGCAAACAAATAAGAAACTACTCTGGAGTTCAAGACAAGTCCAATCAGAGTATCAAAACATAAATACCTATAATCCTGTAGCTAGTCTGTGATATTTGTATCAAAGAGTTAAACATTTTTCAAAGAGCAGTATTTTGTGAGCTATTGGGTCCTGGTAGAGATGGAGAAATCAAGTGACAGTGTGACTGAAACTGCCTACTATAAGCTGGGTTCTGCCAGACCCACTATGTCTTAAGGCTGGCCAGTCCCAGCATCACTGAGTTGTAAGGTATAAGTAATATATCCAGGAATAAGAACAAGGAGGTACCTCCAGATCTCCATGTGATCTAATAATGTTACACCAGTACCTGTTCTCCAGCTCTCAAATATGACCATGTGGAAAGTTTTTTATCATCAGCTAATCAAGGAGCAAAAAATGCCAGGTTTTGTTCACAGATAGGTTGGAATAATAGCTGGGTATAACTGGGTACATGGGTTGTGGTTGCACTACAGCCTCACTCAGGGGTGGTCCTGAAATGATCGCTGAAGGAAAAATCCTTCCGTTTGGCATTTCTTCAAGCAATGCATGCACTTATCCATTTAATGTGAAAAATGAGGGGGCCTGGAATTAGAATAGGTACATGACTTGGCTCACTGGTCGGAGGCCTGGAAGGAGAATAATTGAAATATCAAAGACAAAGACGTCTGGGTTGAAGGAAAGGGAAGCATGAAGCTGAATCTGTGGGAGTGGGCATGAAACATAAATATGTGTTTGTATGTCCTGTGTTAATGCTAGTCAGTTTATCCACTGCAGAATAAGGAATGAACCACCAAGGAGACAAAAACAACTGGGCCACTTGACATCAGCCATCTGCTCACCTCAGCATCATAGTACAAGCATAATTGGCACATGAAGAGTGTCCCTATAGTGACAGGAATGGAAGTGATCAATGGATCCAATAGCTTGGAGTCACACTAGCTAAGGCTGATCTACTTTCTCCTCCAGGGAAATGTTCAACATAATGTTAATGACAATCAATTCTGAGTCCTTGATATGGCAATATTCTTCTGAAGACCAACCACACACTTGGCAGCAAGTGCACTTTAATGGACACTTTTCTCCCCGGAAAGGGTAGTCATTTATTTTAACAGCAGTAGACACACATTTTGGATTTCAGTGTGTTTCTCTCACCTATAGATGTCTTATTACACTATCCAAGGGTTTTAGGAATGTTTCTCCCATAAAATTAGAGATATACTTGCAGCAAAGAAGGTATGAAATTGGCCCAATAAGTCACCATTCCTCTTAATGTCTCATTAACCAGAAATTGCCAAGCTGATAGAACTATATAATCACCTGTTGAACGTATGGCTGTGGTGTCAGCTTATATAGGATACCTGAAAGGAGGCTTCTGTAAATCAATGACTCAAATATGGATTTGTAACCCCAATAATTAAAAAACACTGTTGTTAAACCAGTAAATAAATTAGGAGTCACCTCACTTTCCATGATTACCATTGACCTATTTGGAGGATTTGCTTTTCCTGTTCACCCATATTTAGGTTTCGTCAGTTTGAAGTCCTGTTTCTCATCGGCTCATACAGTATAAGGAAAATGCTTCCAAGAGACACTGAAAGGGTCCCATTAAATGTCAAACTATGGCTGTAGCTTAGTCACTTTAAACTTCTTGTGCCAAGAGCCCAGAAAAACGAACAAAAAAAGATCTGGATAAAGTAGTGCTTCTATTAAAAATGGGGTAGATAATAATATGATTGCAACCTGACAATTACTTGAGCAACTCTTCAGACCACCAATCCAAATTTCATAAGAGGTGAATAAGCCATAAACTGCGAAAGGCAAGGTGACTAGCTGCTCATAAACATCAGGAATGTAGGTCCAGGTCACCTCATCAGATAAGCCACTTAGACAAGCATCAGTGCTCACAAGCTTGAGAGAATTTTAGAATAATTTGTGAAAGGAGGAGAAAATAATTTAATATTTAAAATACTAAAATATTTAAAATTATTTTTCACATATTTAAAATCATGTAATATTTATAACTTACATTTATTAAAACAATTTTAAAATCACTATCTGGTGATGATACTTTACAATGGCACGTTCTTTCTGAAGCAAAGCATTTGGATCTAGTTATATTTAAAATTTTTTTTTTACATTTTATTTTAATGTAATATGGTAATGTTAAGTGTCTTACCACACTTAACATGAGATCTGTTCTCTTAACAAATTTTTAAGCTTGCAATTCAGTATTATTAACTCTAGGCACAATGTTGTAAAGCAGATGTCTAGAATCTATTCATCTTGCACAATTGAAACTTTATGCCCTATGATTAGCAATTTCCTCCCCGCTCCACCCATCCTTTGGTGACCAACATTCTACTCTTTGTTTCCATGAGTTTGAATACTTTAGATAGCTGATTTAAGTGGAATCATAAAGTATTTATCTTTCTGTTACTAGCTTATTTCTCTTAGCATAAAGTTCTCAAGGTTCGTCCACATCATGGCGTATTGTAGAGTTTCCTTCTTTCATGGAGCTGAATAATATTCCATTGTATGTTTATACAACATTTTCTTTATCCATTCCATTGATGGACATCTAAGTTATTTCTACATCTTTGCTATTGTGAGTGTTGCTGCAATGAACATCGGATACTAATATTTATTTGAGATCTTGGTGTCAATATTTTGATAAACACTTTGAGGTATGACTGCTAGAACAAACAGCAATTCTATTTTTAGATTTTTGAGGCGCCTCCTTTGTTTTCCATATCCTCTGCCCCATTTTGTATCTCTATTAACAATGTAAAAGGGTTCCAATTTTCCACATCTTCATCGATGCTCATTATCTTTTTTTTTTTTGGTAATAGTTATCCTAACAAGTGTGAGCAGATATGTCATTGTAATTCTGATTTGCACTTCTCTGGTGATTGGTGATATTGAGCACCTTTTCATTTATCTGTTATTTGTACACCTTCTTTGGAGAAATAGCTATTCAAATCATTTGCCCATTTTTAAACAGGTAATTGTATGTTTGTTTTGTTTTGTTTTTGCTATTGATTTAGAAGTTCTTAGCTTATTTTAGAAATTGACCCCTTATCTAATAAATGACTTACAAATATTTTCTCTCATTCTATACACTGTATCTTCTATCATTTCCTTTGCCATGCAGAAGTATTTTGTTTTGATATAGTCCCACTTGTCTATTTTTGCTTTGTTACTAGTGCTTTTGCTGTCATATTCAAAAAATCATTTTCAAAACCAATGTTATGATTTTTCCATGTTTTCTTTAATAAGTTTTATAGTTTCAAGACTTATTTTTAAGTCTTTAATTCACTTTGAGTTGATTTTTTGTGTATAGTGTAAAGGTCCAAATTCATATCTTTTGCATGTTGGTATCCACTTTTCCAAAAATAATATATTAAAGAGACTATCCTTTCCTCATTGTGTATTCCTGGCACCCTTGTGAAAGTCAATGACTGCATATACCTAGATTTATTTCTGGACTGTCTCTTTTGTTCCATTGGTCTGTACATCTGTCTTTATGCCAGTAAAATACTGTTGTAATTGTTCTAGCTTTATGATATATTCTGAAATCAGAACGTGTGATTTAACTTCCACCTTTATTCTTCTTTCTCAAGATTGTTTTTGGCAACTGGGGGTCCAGTTTGGTTCCATATAAATTTTAGAATTCTTTTTCTATTTCTGTAAAAAAATACCTTGGGAGTTTAAATAGGGATTGCACTGCATTTGTCAATTGTTAAAATGTCCATATTAACTAAAACAACTTAAATCTTCAATCTATGAACATGGAATGCTTTTCTATATTTTTTTGTTAATTTCCTCCATCAATGTTTTATGATTTTCCAGGTACAAGTCTGTTTCCTACTTAGTCAAGTTTATTTCTGAGTATTTTATTCTTTTTTATGCTAATGTAAATTAGATTGCTTTATCAGGTTATCTTTTTTTGATACAATAATTATTTATTAAGTACCTCTTGAGCAGTGGTTCTCAACCTGGCAAAAATTTAGTCAACTAACAGATTTTGAAAAATAATGATGTTTGAGTTCCACAATCACCATGTTCTTATGTAATTATTGTAAGGCAAACCCTGGGCTTTTGTTGTTTGTTGTTTTAGTATAGATGTTCTTTATTGGTAAATAAAATTTCCTTCTATCCCTGGTTTGCTAAATATTATAAATGTATAGTGCATTTTATCAAATATGTTTTCTCCATTTTTGAAATAATATGATTTTTATTTTCTAATTTATTTTTAATTTTATTTCTATAGTTTGAGGGAACAGGTGGTGTTTGTTACACGAATAAATACTTTAGTGGAAATTCCTAAGATTTTGGTGCATCTGTCAATCAAGGAGTGTACACTGTACCCAATGTGTAGTCATTTATCCCTCACCTCCCACCACCCTTCCTCCTGAGTCCCTATAATCCATTACTTCATTCTTATGAGTTTGTGTTCTCATATCTTAGCTCCTGCTAACAAGTGAGAACATGTGATATTTGGTTTACCATTCCTGAGTTACTTCACTTAGAATAACAATCTTCGACTCCATCCAGGTTGCTGGAAATGTCATTATTTCATCCCTTTTAGTGGCTGAGTAGTTTTCCATGGTGTGTGTATATATAGCTATAAACATCTGTGTGCTGCCATATATATATACATACACACTCTGTCTTTGAAATATATGTGTATTATATAACATATAACATAAGTTATTATATGTTACATGTAATAACATATGATACACATATATGTGTTTGAGCTACTTAATCTCATTAAGAATCGATTCCCTTACATGTAAAATGAGGGAGGAATAATTACCTCACAGTGTTGTTGTGAGAAATAAATAAATAAATAAATGTAAGAAAATAGTAATTTCTTAAATCCCTTTTTCATAAGTTTCTGTGACCTTAGTTGTAATGTCTCTTCTCTCATTTCTGATTTAAGTCTTCTCTTTTTCTTAGTCTAGCTAAAGATTTGTCAGCTATGTTTATCTTTTCTAGAACCCAACTCAGTCTTGTTAATTTTTTCTATTGTTTTTCTATTCTCTATTTCATTTACACCTGTTCTAATCTTTACATCCTTGCTTCTGCTAACATTGGGCTTAGATTATTCTTTTTTATTGTTCCTTAAAATGCATACTTAAGATCCAGCAATTCCACTTCTGGGTCTATATCCAAAAAATTAACCTCAGGGTCCCGAAGATATCTGCACTCCCATGTTCACTCTAGCACTTTTTACAACAGTCCAGATATGGCAACACCTGTATGCACATTAATTAATGAAAGGATAAAGACAGTGTAGTAAAAGCATACAATAAAATACTATCCATCTTCTTAAGAAAAAGGAAATCCTGCCATATGGAACAACATGGATGAACATAAAAGACATTATGCTAAGTGAAATAACCTAGTCACAGAAGGACAAACAGCTTATGATTCCACTTATGTGAGGTAAATAAAATCATCAAACTCACAGAAACAGAGTAGAATGGTGATTTCTAGGAAAGCAGGAGAGGGGGAAAGTGGGGAGTTGGTGTTCAACAAGTATAAAGTTCAATTATGTGAGATGAATAAATTCTAGAGATCTGCTTTCCAACAATGAGCCTCTAGTTAACAGTATTGTGCACCTAAAAATTTGTTGAAAGTAGATTATATGTTAAGTGGAATAGAAAAAAAGCATTATATAAAAAAAATTAGGATATCTGAATTAACTATAGACTTAAAGTAACAGTAATATGTTAATATTGTTTCATTAATTATACCCAATATACTGTACTACTGCAAGATGTTAACAACAAGGGAAATGGTATGCAGGATTTGAAGTGATATGGGAGCTCTCTGTACTATCTTTGCAATTTTTCTATAAATCTAAAACTTTACTCAATTATAAAGTCTATTAATTAAAAAATGAGAAAAAAATGCAATTTGAGACTTCTCTTTATTACATATTATATATAAATATTTCAATAGAATAAAATTGCTTAGTGACTTGAACCCAGCTTTTGATTTCTACTACAATTTTCAAATAAAATGAATCATTGAAGAAATGATTGATTCTAGGATTGGAGCATGAAATATGCATGACGAGATTGGAGCATTTTGTAATGCTGCAAAGTAAGTAAGTGCTTGAGGAGAAGACACACATATATACACATACAAATATTGGGTTATTTCAAAGGCTGTCTCTGGAACATTTTGATCAATAAAATACAGTAGCATTAAATTCCAAGTCAAAGTGTAAAATGAATATTCATAATTTATACTGACATAAGTAAATTATAGACTACATGGGACAGAATAGACCAATCTCCTGTGCAAAATTTTTAAAAGAATCTATGTAGACATTCAGTTATCAAGGAAGTGGAGCGCAACTTCCTACCCTTTTTCAAGTTGACTGAACATGATGACTCTTGTCCAAAGAGTACTGAATGAAAAGGGATTAGGGGGAAGAGTAATTTTATAATGGAGAAACCTGACAAATACTACCTCAGCCAAGTGATCAAAGTCAGCACCAACAGTGATAAGTCATATTGATATTATATGTTTTTAATATGATGCGATGAGAATGGCAATTTATATTGTTTTCCTCTCAAAAACAGATGTCGAGTATAATCAGGAGAAATACACAAGTCCATACTGAAAGGCATTTTATAAAACATGTGATAAATGCTCCTTAAAACTGTCAAGGCTGTGGGAAAAAAAAGGAAAATGAGAAATTCTCATAGTCACAAGAAGCCTAAGGAGTCATGACAAAATATAATGTGATATCCTGAATTGAACGCTGACATAAAACAGACGTTAGGTGAAAACTAAGAAAATCTGAAAAAGTAACAGATTGTAGCTAATAATGTACCAATCAATATTGAGTCACTTGTACTATACTAATGTAACATAACCCTTGAAAAGTGAAACAGGATGTGGAGTATTGGAAACTATCTGTATTACCTGCTTAATATTTCTGTAAATCAAAAATTGCCCTAAAATACAAAGATTATTTTTAATTACCTACAATGTGTTTTGGGACTATAACATTAAATTCTTAGGGAGGACTTATTGGCTTTTTGCAAATAGCTTTAAAAGTATAGTCTGAATAGTTTCCTATGATGAATATAAATCAAGTATCAAGAGGCAATTTGGCAGCATTGTTAACAGTATTTTTCCTCCCTTTGAGGAAGAAAAATTGCTACAGGAAAAAATAAAATGGCATCCCACATAATAATCCAACTATTGCTATCAGAAATCTATATATGATTGAAAAGTTTGAAATACTTTTTTTTTGAATAGTACATTTCTGAGATATGTGGAAATCAAAACTCTGCAATGGAAGAATTACTATCTACTGCGAATAAAGTCTGTATTTTAACAGAAATAATTTCTTTAATTTTAAAAGAGAAAAGAATAAAATGACAACAGCAGAGTATGTTCATTCTTAATTAGTACAAGAGCTTATTTTTATGATGAACTTACCAAGACCTAGGCAGTGTGATAAGCACAACTTTGCATTCATTATATCATTTGATTCCCACAATTCTATGATGTAGTTTATTCACTACTTTCTCCCTTTTATAGTGTGGCTACAGAAACATAGAATTATTGGATAATCTACCCAAATCTTCATACCTAATAACTAGTAAAGCAAGCACAATCTAAGTATTAGGCAAACTGTTTTAATCACTATAATCACCAGAACATATATAGGGTATTGGAAATCCAAGAAAGTACAAAATTTCTTTTATTGCTTTTGAAATAAAAGCCTATTTGTGAATGACTTTGTTAAAAGTCAGAGCATTTCTGATTGTATATCTAGAAACCTAGGGAAAGTTAAGTGGACAATGTATATTTTATTGGTTCACATGTAAACATTTGATTATCTCTTCATAGTGTTATAGAACCAGGTCTCTTCTACCCACATGCAACAAGCCAATCAATGAGACAATGAGTCTTGCAAAAAAGGAAGAGTTTATTCACAAAGCAGCCAAGTGAGGAGGCAGAACAGGTCTCAAAAAGGGTAGAAGGCAGGTGAGGGTTGAAAAATACCTATTGGAGACGATGTTCACTATTCGGCTGATAGGTACACTAAAAGCTCAGACTACACCAATACACAACGTATGCATGTAAGAAACCTGACTTGTACCCCCTAAATAGACACATGTTTTAAAAATCTGCCTCCCCCAAAATAAGGCTTAGAGATATTTATGGGTTAGAAGTGTGTGGTCTATTGTGTGGGAAAAAAAACGTGATTGGTAGTAGACAGAAATCAAATCATCAGTGATCTATTGCAAGCATAGTAGGGATTCATGCCATTTCACAGAACATATGTTTAGAACTTGTTGGTGTTAGCATGATGTGAGAGTGGAGTTTTTGGCCCTCTGACATCAAGAAAAAAATCTCTCTCATATTTGCACAAGTTCTATTGAAGGGTTGAGGGCCTCAACCAGTTTCAACAGGACTGATGCTACCTCAAGCTCCTGAAAACAACTGAAGCAACTGCTACTATAGTAATTTATAAATGTTATCTATGAGTGTGAAGGTTATATTACAGCACTCTATGAGCCAGTGAAGGTTATATTACAGCACTCAGCAGTGCAGCCTTCAGCTACAAGAGCCATCAGCTTCATGGAAGGAAAAAAAAAAACACACCAAAAAGCAAGCCACTCAGTGCAATCAAGGAAGGGTGAGTTTGGCAGTCCTAATTAGATTTCACTTTTTGGTTTTAATAGTGTGCATCAATTAGTCATTATCTTGGCTTCCTTGCTCATTTTACTTATATTTCCAGAATGCTTTGTCATGATTATTTACTAAAACAATGTTTTAAGCCACTAAGATTACGGTAGTTTGATACACAGCAAGAAGCTAACTGAAACACAAATTGCTATCTTTTTTTAAAATGTTTTTAATAGACTTTTTTTTTAGAGCAGTTCTAAGTTCACAGCAAGAATGTAGTAGAAGGTACAGAGTTTCCTTACATACCCAGCCTCTACAAACTCACAGCCACTTCCGCTATCAAGAACCATCACTGTAACATTTGTTACAATTAATGAACCAACATTGACACATCATTACAACCCAAAGTTCATCCTTTATATTAAGCTTCACTATTACTCTTGTAAATTCACTGGGTTTTGACAAACATATAATGACATGTGTCTGCCATAACTCTATCTTACAGAACAGTTTCACTGCTCTAAAACCTGTGCTCTACCTGTTCAACTGTCCTTTCTCCCAACCCCTGGTAACCATTGATCTTTATACCATCCCCATAGTTTTGGGGTTTTTTTTAGAATGTCAAAGTTGGGATCACATATTATGGAGTCTTTTAAGACTGGCTTTTATCGCTTCTTTCTTCACCACACACTTAAAATTTCTCTATGTCTTTTCATGAGTTTTTAACACTGAATAATATTCATTGTCTGGATGTACCACAGTTTATTTATCCACCCATTCACAGAAGGACATCTCAGTTGCTTGCTTCCAGGCTTTGGTGACTATAAAAACTGCTATAAACATTTATGTACAGGTTTTTTGTGGAGACAATTGTCCACTTATTTGGGTAAAACAAAACAATGCAAATGCTAGCTCATGCTAAGAATATGTGTAGTTTTATAAGAAACCATCAATATGTCTTCTAAAGTAGCTATACCATTTTGCATTCCCACTAGTAATGAATGAAAGTTCCTGTTGCTCCATAACCTCACCAGCATTTGCATTGAAGATGGTTTGGATTTCACCGTTCTAATCAGTGTATAGTGGTGTCTCATTGCTTTTAAAATTTGCAGTTCCCTAATGAAATATGATATTGAACTTTTTTCACATACTTACTTGGCATCTGCATATCTTCTTTGGTGTCTTCAGATCATTTGCCCATGTTTCAGTTGGGTCATTTGTTTTCTTATTGTTGATTTTTGAGAGTTTTTATATTTTGGATACCAGTCCCTTTTCAGATATGTCCTTTGCAAAGATTTTCACTATGAATTGTCTTTTCATTTTCTTAATATTTTTCATAGAATTTTTAAAAATTTTATGGAGTCCAGCTTATCAATTACTTTGTGCCTTTGGTGTTGTAACAAAAATAACAGAACCATACCCAAGGTTATCTAGATTTTTTTTCCCTGTTATCTTCTAGGCATTTAACAGTTTTGAATTTTACATTTAAGTCTGTGATCCATTTTGAGTTAGTTTCTATGAAGGGAGTAAGATCTGTGTCTAAATTCATATTTTTGCATGTATATGCCTAGTTGCTCTGGAACCATTCGTTGCAAAGTTTTTCTCCATTTATAATCTTTGCTTTCTTGTCAAAAAGATCAGTTGGCTTTATTTATATGGGTCTATTCTGGGCTCTGTATTCTGTTCCATTTTTCTATTTATTATTTTGCCAATATCACACTGTCTTGATTACTGTAGATTTATAGTAAATCTTGAAGTTAGGTAGTGTCAGTCTAACTTTGTTCTCTTTCCGTATTGTGTTAGCTATTCTGAATGTTTTATCTCCCCATATAAACTTCAGAATTGGTTTGTCATATCCACAAAATAACTTTCTAGGATTTATATTTGGATTACTGAGTCTTCTTATCTATGAACACAGAACACCTCTCCATTTATTTAGTTCATCTTTGATTTCTTTCATGAGAATTTTGTAGTTTTCCTCATGTAGGCTTTTTTCATGTTTTTTTAGACATATCTAAGTTTTTTTTAATTTTTGGTGCTAATATAAATATGATTGTGTTTCTAAACTCAAAATTAATTTGTTCATTGCTTGTATATAGGAAAGTGACTTACTTTTGTACATTAACTGTGTATTCTGTCACCTTGCTATAATCACTTATTAGTTGAGAGTTGGTTTGTAGAGTCTGAGATTTTCTCCACAGAACAGAGTGTTATCTATGAACAAAGACAGTTTTATTTCTTCCTCCCTAATCTCTCTTTTACAAGGGTGCTAATCCCACCCATTAGGCTCTACCCTCATGACCTAATCACTTCTGAAAGGCTCCAACTTTTAATGTCATCACCTTGGAAATTAGGATTTCCCATATACATTTTGAAGAAATGCAAACATTTAGATCACAGCTTTGCATTAGCCTGGACTTCCAGTAAAATGTTGGAAAAGAGTGGTGAGAGGGGTCATCCTGGCTTTTTCTTGATCTTAATGAGAAAGCTTCTATTTTCTCACCATTAAGTATAATATTAACTGTAGGTTTCTTTGTAGATGTTCTTTATAAAGTTGAAGAAGTTCTCATCTATTGTTAATTTTGCTATCCATTTCTCATTGAATTTTACTCCTTTCTCATTTTATTTTTGCAACTGATACAAATGGAAGATGGGAATAGGAGCATCAAAAATATTAAAAGATAAGTACATGAAGTCAGCACCTAGATCTAGACTTTTCAAAAATATGTTCCTACCAATACATATTTGTTTGCTTTATATATGATATTTATACAATATCTCACTGGTGGGAATAAAGTTGTGAAAAATCCTAATTTCTTTCATTCATTTTATGTAACTAGTGCATCTGGAAAGTTAAAAGTTGACTATGTTTTAATTCGCTTAAAGGTTAGCATAGCCTTCCTTAGTTTCTCTGCCTCAAAATGTCTACCCTAAGTTACATAGTAGGGCAAGAGAGGATTAATTAAGCAATTGTATTCCTTAGTTGCTTTATTCGAGAGGCAGGAGAATATCTTTTGAGTGCTGACTTTAAGAAGAAAATGACCTTTTTCACTAAATCATATTTAAATTGCAAATCACCCTCCAGTTTGTAGAGGATGCACATTAGGGAGGAGAAAACTAAAGAGATGGCTTAAGGATCAAGAGCTTGAGCTGAAATTTCATGTAGCCAGTCTTGTGGGAAGAAAGTAGACAGCCAGAGTTTTTCAAACTTCACTGGAAGGAAGCAAGCAGTCCTGACAAATCGATTTTTCAAGAATCTATACTAAAAGCACTTACTTTAAACAAATCCATAAACAAAGACTAGGGACATTCGGCCTCTAATAAGGCCTTAATAACAATGACTGAGAGCAAATACAACACAACTATGTAGGGTACAGAATAGGAAGAAAATTTAATCCAGTTCAGATCAGAATGCTTTCCTCATTCATATTGGTTAAAGTTTATCCCAAGTGTTTGGTGATGAACTGGAGACGACTACAAAGCTAACATAGATCCTCAATGGATCATTACATGACTGCATAAACCTGTACTTTAAGCAATATACAGTCTGGAAGCCACACTCTTCACATATTGTATGCACACTTAAAATATCACACACACGCATGCACATACAGAGAGAAAAAATTCTTCAAGTGTTGTCACATAGACATGAGGGTACCAGGTAGAGACCACAGAGTCTGGTATCTAAATGCAGCAGCAAAATTAGGTAATCACCCCTTCATGTGTAATCTTTCTTATTATTTTTTCCATGACTTTTCATATCTTGTCTGTGTGTTTGGCGTCATATGAATTTGCTGGATCTTTTAGAAAGAGGCTAAGTTTGTCCCATGTAAAATAGCTAGCTACTTAGACAATATGTTGAATATAAAAAATTCACTTTTTCCCATTTTTTTCTATTAGGTAGAAATAAATGTATAGTTATACAACTTATATATTCTTACTTAAAGCATATTTTTGACAGACTGATTTATAAAAATTGTCACATATTCTTAAGACAATTATGTGTAAATTCTTAAGTTATACAAGTTGCTATTCAAAGACAAATTACCAATCAATTTTTAGAAAATAGAACTCTACTTTGAACAGAGTAAAAAAATTAAGAACTTAATCTCT